>NC_000006.12:14756969-14908484 GCF_000001405.40 Homo sapiens | reverse complement strand
TATCACTGCTTTGATTTTTGTCTCCATAGTTTTGCCTTTTTAGAATGTACTTTGTATTTGCTTGTTCTGCTTAGCGTAATTATTTTGAGATTCACCCATGTTGTTACATGTATCAATAGTTCATTCATTTTTATTACATGTAGTATGCCATGGTATGGATATTCCACAGTTTGTTTATTCATTCTTCTGTTGATGAACATTGGGGTTGTTCCCAGTTTTTATTAAAAATAAAGCTGTGGATGGGCATGGTGGCTCATGCCTATAATCCCAGCACTTTGGGAAGCTGAGGTGGGAGGATCACTTGAGCCCAGGAGTATGGAGACCAGCCTGGGCAACATAGTGAAATCCCATCTCTACAGAAAAAAAAAAAAAAAACCCCACAAAACAAAACAACAAAAAACTGCTATGAATGTTTGTGTACAAGCAATTGTATAGACATACACTTTCATTTCTTACAGGTAAATATTTCATAGTGGATGGCAGGGTTGTATAGTAGATTTATGTTTAACTTTTTAAGAAATTACCTGTTTTCCAAAGTGGTTGTACTGGCTGAGCATGGTGGCTCACTCCTGTAATCCCAGCACTGTGGGAGGCTGAGGCGGGCAGATCACTTGAGGTCAGGAGTATGAGACCAGCCTGCCCAACATGGTGAAACCCCTTCTCTACTAAAAATACAAAAATTAGCTGGGCATGGTGGCACATACCTGTAATCCCAGCTACTTGGGAGGCTGAGGCAGGAGAATCTCTTGAACCCTGGAGGCAGAGGTTACAGTGAGCGGAGATCATACCACTGCACTCCTGCCTGGGCGACAGAGCAAGACTCTGTCTCAAAAAACAAAAAAACAAAAAAGTGGTTGTACTATTGTGTATTCCCATCACCAATATATGGGAGTCCTAGTTGCTCTGCATCCTTCTCAGTGCTTGGCATGATCAGTTTTTTTACTTTTGGCCATTCTAGTAAGCACGTAGTTTTAATGCACATTTTCTTCCTTTTTTTTTTTTTTTTTTTTTGAGACAGAGTCTCACTCTGTCGCCCAGGCTGGAGTGGAATGGCATGATCTTGGCTCGCTGCAACCTCCGCCTCCTGGGTTCAAGCAATTCTCCTGCCTCAACCTCCTAAGTAGCTGGGATGACAGGCATGTGCCACCACACCCAGCTATTTTTTTTTATTTTTTATTTTTAGTAGAGATGGGGTTTTGCCATATTGGCCAGCCTGGTCTCAAACTCCTGATCTCAGGTGATCCACCTGCCTTGGCTTCCCAAAGTGCTGGGATTACAGGCATGAGCCACTGTGCCCGGTCTTAATGCATGTTTTCTTGATAACTCATGATGTTGAGCTTCTTTTCATGTCCTTATTTGTCATTCATGTATCTTCTCTGATGAAGCTTGGCTTCACATTTTTTGCTCATTTGAAAAATTGCACTGTCTTCTTTTTATTGAATTGTAAGAGCTGTATTTTGGATTGAAGTTCTTTATATTTAATTGTAAAGAAAAATAATGTATTCATTCATTTAAGTGAAGATTTAGGCCAGGGCTAGATAATATTTTAGGCTCTGTGGGCCGTATCATCTCTCTTCTAACTACTCAACTTTGCCTAGTCATAGATAATCTCTAAATGAATAAGCATGTCTGTGTTCCAATAAAACTTTATTTATAAGAACAGGCAGAAGGACAGATTTGACCTGTTGGCCAGGGCTTGCCAACCCTTAGCTTTGGCTTCAGTTTCTAGCACTGGACAGGGTTGACTGAATCTGGGTTCCTGCTGTGAATTGCAAGATTGAAATACAGAGTTCATTAGAACGATCTGGGGGCTAAGTCCAGTCCATTTTACTTAAAAGTCAGAATTGCAGGACATATAGAATTTCTATATCAAGCTACATGTTTCCTAAGTTATTTTTCAGACCTGGGAGCCAGTGATCCTGAGGATGCACTGTCATATGAGATAGTCCAGCAGAAGAACGTGTCCCTCCTGGTTAGGGGTCCTCATATCTGGCGTGCATCATAGTCACTGGCAGCTTTTCAGTAGATGTTCCTGGGCTCTATCTGCTGCATCAGAATCTCAGGGGTGGGCTGGGTTATGTGTATTTCTATTTTTAAAGCATCTTCCAGGTGTTTCAGATGAAGTCAGATGAGGGACTTGCACTAAGTGATGAATAGAGATTCTCAGGAGACTTATCTTAATGAAGAGATAAGAATAATCTCTAATTACTGCATTGATTTTATGTAAATAGATGCTTCTAAAGTGTTCACAATATTTTAAAGTTAATAAGTAGTTAAAATACTCTTTCCTAAGCCTGCTCTCCAAACTTGATTGCCACTACTGGGATTCTTATCAAACTATTTTTTTCATGCACAGTGCAAAAACAAACTTCAGAACAGCCTCTGCTGGATTTTCAAAAAACCTGAATTATTGGACTCTAAATTAAAGAGTAAAAAGTATTGTGGAAATTCAAGCCCATTACCATTTATTCATAAAGACAAGTGACTCAATCAAAACAGTATCTTTGATGGATTAAGTGTGTTTAAACAAATAGTTAACCATAATACTAGGGGATTAGTATTTTTGAAGAGCTCTATTTTTGGTAGAGCTTTAACTGATATTCTTTGATAATCCCTGTTTTTCCCTGGCAGTTGATGCCTCTATTTGCTTTGGAAATAGCCTTTTAGTATGTTGCATTTTAACAATATTCTTATAGTACAGAATGTGCAATTCTGTTTGTAATGCAAAAATCTATCAGGTAAGCTTGGGAAATGACAAAATAGTTGCTTGCAAATTGCTTTAGACCTAAAGTGGACAATCTGAAGTTATCAATCAAATTGTGATTTGTTGATGTAGGACTCTCAACTATTTTTACATTTAAAAAACCCCCTGTCTATTATTGTCTTAGTCTATTTGCTGCTATAACAAAATACCTGAGATTGGGCAATTTATAACAACAGCATTGTATGTCTCATAGTTCTGGAGGCTGGGAAGTCCAAGATCAAGGCCTGGGCAGTTTCAGTGTCCAGTGAGGGCCCAATTTCTGCTTCTAAGATAGCAGCTTGTTGCTGCAACCTCTGGAGGCGATGAATGCTGTGTCCTCACCTGGTGGAAGGAATGGAAGGGCAAAAAGGGCCTAGCTAGTTCCCTCCAGCTGTTTTATAAGGTTGCTAATCTCACTGGTGAATGTTGTACCCTCATGGCTTAATCACGTCCTAAATCAGCCTACCTCTAAGTACTATCACATTGGTGATTAGTTTCAACACACAAATTTTTGGGGACATTCAAACCATAACAATCGTTAAGAAAAATTATGTAAAACTTTTGGTGTCACCCTGGGGTCTTGTCTAACAAGCTCACCCACAGATTATTTGATTCTCAAGAGAATGTACTTTTCATTGAATTCTGTTTACTATTGATTAGGGCTCAGATGCTGTGAAGTTACATGTTAACTTAGAGACTTTTGTTTATTAGAGACATAAATGATTTTTTATTGGTAGAAAAGATAACCTCAATGCTTATAGTTTTATTGTCCTGTAGGTCATTAACCAGCTTGATCTCTAACTCAGTAAACTTATTTTGGTATAACTTTCTTTTCTTCTCTTTCCCTCCTTCCCTCTTTCCCTCCTTCCTTCTTTCTCTCTCTCTCTCCCTCTCTCTTTCTTTTTTTTTTGAGATGGAGTTTCACTCTTGTTGCGAGGCTGGAGTGCAATGGCACGATCTCGGCTCACTGCAACCTCCACCTCCCGGGCTCAAGCAATTCTCCTGCCTCAGCCTCCTGAGTAGCTGGGATTACAGGCATGCGCCACCATGCCCGACTAATTTTGTATTTTTAGTAGAGATGGGTTTTCACCATTTCACCATGTTAGCCAGGCTGGTCTCGAACTCCAGACCTCAGGTGATCCACCCACCTTGGCCTTCCAAAGTACTGGGATTACAGGTGTGAGCCACCACACCTGGCCTATACCTTTTACCTTTGCTGATTTAAATCTGCGTCCTTTCTCTGGAGTGAATGGTAACTTTTACTCCATCTTTTTTGAGTTCTCTGAGTCCCTGCAGCAAATCATTGAATCTGAGGGTAGTTGTGGGGACCCCAACACAGACATGGATATATAAAGTGCTTTGCTCAGTGCCTGGAAGAGTCTGTCTGGCTCTGCCTTTGCCTGACTTCTGATCCTTGGCTTGTCCATCCTTTCTAGCCCCATAATCCCAATTGTGACCCTTTGGACCCACTGACTATCTTTGCTCGTTCTGTTTCCTCTAAGAATTGTTCTCTGGAAACTTCATTTTAAAGAATAAAATATCTAACCTCAGTCGGTTGGTTGAGGGCAGCTCTCCTCAAAGCTTCGGCCTGTGTAGGCCTAATAATCTGTGGCTGTGCCAGTTTTTAACTTTTGATTCGTGTCTATGTCTTCCCTCCTGCGCTAGGTTACAATTTATGTAAAGTGGATAGTGCCACTTCTTTCCTTGTCATCCACAGTGCCTGGTGCCTGAGAGGACAATGTGGCCTAATGGGAAAGACCTGAGTTTTAGAGTCAGCATAAGCCTGCCTTGAATTCAGCTCAGCTATGTACCTGCCACATCAGTCTGGGCAAGTTGCTACACCTCTCTGAGCTTCAGTTTCCACATTTGCAACACGGGCCTCACATTTCCTATTTCACAGGGCTGCCAGGGGTTTTGATGGTATCCTGGCCAGCTCAGACCTAAGACGTGGCTATGCCAGCATTTAGAGTTAGGTGGCCCACTTATGGGGGTTGTGTGCTTTGCATAGATAAAACCTCTCTAACAGGCATGAAATATTGGACGAGAACACGAACTCTGCCCTCAACCAGGGTTCAGGAGTGAACAGACATGGCTAATGGGCTTCAGGGCAGGACAAGAGATAAAAGCAGGTTACAGGTAGGGACAAGTAATCACTGTTGCTAAGCTTAGTTGAAACCTTAACCATATGCCAGACTCTGTTCTAAGCAATTAACATGTAATATACTCTCAATCTTTCCAATCCCTATAAAGAAGGCCTTTTTCTTTTGAATTAGGAAACTTAGACACAGAGAATTTAACGAACTTACCCACAGCCAGGAAGTGGCAGAGCGAGGACTGAGGGGGCAGTGATCCAGAGCCATGCTCCTAACCATAATACCATATGGCCCTCATTGAACTAACTGCCTGCCAGAGTGCTAACACATCCCAGGCAGGAGAAGCGTGATGAAAACAGAGTTCTTTATTACTGGAAATATAATAAACTCTCCTGGGGAAGACTTTCTCAGCGAGTTGGGCAGTAAAACTGAAGTTACAGTAGCATGAGAGGTGCCTCACCCTCACCCAACCCTTGTATCAAAAGAGCTGGGCCCCTGAGATAAAAAGGGCTTCTCTAGCCTGGTGTGGTGGCTCACACCTGTAATCCCAGCACTTTGGGAGGCTGAGATGGGCGGATCACGAGGTCAGGAGATCGAGACCATCCTGGCTTACACAGTGAAACCCCATCTCTACTAAAAATACAAAAAAAAAAAAAAAAAAAAAAATTAGCCAGGCGTGGTGGCAGGCACCTGTAGTCCCAGCTACTTGGGAGGCTGAGGCAGGAGAATGGTGTGAACCTGGGAGGTGGAGCTTGCAGTGAGCCGAGATCGCGCCACCACACTCCAGCCTGGGCAACAGAGCGAGACTCCGTCTCAAAAAAAAAAAAAAAACAAAGGGCTTCTCCGTATCGGATGGAGAGAGATAAGTCCAGGAGATAAGCAGCATGGAACGTGAGGCTTCCAGAAAGCAGCAGCAGCAGAGATGGCACAGGATACCAGGACCGCTGTGTCATAGGTAAATAGGTCCCCCAAATGCAGTGTTGGCCCTGCAATGAAAGCTCTGTAGGTTCTGACACTGGTGGGCCTGGAGAAGAACTCAGGATAGCAGCAGCCAAGCACTGCAGCCCGGACATTGGGATAGCACATCTCCTATATTCATTTTAAGACTTCTGTATTGGAGTATGAGAAAGAACAGGAAAACTCACAAGCCCTAAGTGTCCAGTTCAATAAACATTTATAAACTGAACCTAATCCCTGACCAGGGTTAAGTATCAAAATGTGACCAGCACCCCAGAAGTACTACTTTTGCCTCCTCCCTGTCATTCCTCCCCAAGGTCGCCCCTATCTTGACATCTAAAAAGCCTTGGGTACATTTTACCAGATTTTGCTCTTTATATAAGTGGAATCATTCCTGTACTTTACTTCTTTTGCAAATATGGCTGTGGGTAGGTGTCATTCATTCACTCTCATTGCAGCATGGGATTCCATTGAGTAAATATCCCACAACATTTTCATACATTCTATTGCTGATGAGCATTGCAAGTAGTTTCCAGTTTGGGCTCCCTCCGCTTTTGAGGAATCAAAGAAAGACACAAGAGGAGAAGGATTGAGAACCTCACATTGGTGGAACTATGAACAAATTCTTACCATAATGGCCTTAGGAAGCACAACATGAGATTCTCAGAGATGTCTGGAGAGGAGGACTACTGGAAAGCAGAGGCAAGGATCTGGAGGACTGAAAAGGGAGGGGTTGGCTCAAAATTTGCCTTTATTATTATTTAATTTAATTTAAAGTTCCAGGGTATATGTGCAGGATGTGCAGGTTTAATACTTAGGTATTAAGCCCAGCATGCATTAACTATTTATCTTGAAGCTTTCCCTCCCCTAGCTCCTCACCCACAGGCCCCAGTGTGTGTTGTTCCCCTCCCTGTGTCCCTGTGCTCTGATTGTTCAGCTCCCGCTTATAACTGAGAACCTGTGGTGTTTGGTTTTCTGTTCCTGTGTTAGTTTTCTGTGGGTGATGGCTTCAAGCTCCAACCATGTCCCTGCAAAGGACATGATCTCATTTCTCTTTATGGCTGCATAGTATTCCATGGTGTATATGTACCACATTTTCTTTATCCAGTCTATCATTGATGAACATTTGGGTTGATTCCATGTGTTTGCTATTGTGAATAGTGCTGCAATGAACATACACATGCATATGTCTTTATAGTAGAATGATTTATATTCGTTTGGGTGTATTATCCAATAATAGAAATACCAGTAATGGGAACCAAACACTGCAGGTTCTCACTTATAATAATTGCTGGGTCAAATGGTATTTCTGGCTCTAGGTCTTTGAGGAATTGCCACACTGTCTTCCAGAATTGTTGAACTAATTTGCATTCCCACCAATAGTGTAAAAGTGTTCCTATTTTTCCACAGCCTCACCAGCATCTGTTGTTTCTTGACTGTTTAATAATCGTCATTCTGACTGGCTGGCACGAGAGGGTCCTCATTGTGGTTTTGATTTGCATCCGTCTAATGACCAGTGATGTTGAGCTTTTTTTCATGGTTTTTGGCCACATACATGTCGTCTTTTGAGAAGTGTCTGTTCATGTCCTTCGCCCACTTTTTTTTTTTTTTTGAGATGAAGTCTTGCTCTGTCGCCCAGGTGGCTGGAGTGCAATGGTGTGATCTTCGCTCACTGCAACTTCTGCCTCTTGGGTTCAAGCGATTCTCCAGCCTCAGCCTACTGAGTAGCAGGGATTACAGCCACCCGCCACCTTGCCCAGCTAATTTTTGTATTTTTGTAGAGATGGGGTTTCACCATGTTGGCCAGGCTGGTCTTGGACTCCTGACCTCAGGTGATCTGCCTGCCTCAGCCTCCCAAAGTGCTGGGATTACAGGCCTGAGCCACCACGCCCAGCCCTTTGCCCACTTTTTAATGGGGTTGTTTTTTTCTTGTGAATTTAAGTTCCTTCTAAATTCTGGGTATTAGACCTTTGTCAGATGGATAGATTGCAAAAATTTCTCCCATTCTGTAGGTTGTCTGTTCACTCTGATGATAGTTTAGTTTGCTGTGCAGAAGCTCTTTAGTTTAATTAGATCCCATTTGTCAATTTTTGCTTTTGTTGCAATTGCTTTTGACATTTTCCTCATGAAATCTTTGCCTGTGCCTACATCCTGAATGGTATTGCCTAGATTTTATTCTAGGGTTTTTATAGTTTTGGGTTTTACATTTAAGTCTTTAAGCCATCTTGAGTTAATTTTTGTATAAGGCGTAAGGAAGGGGTCCGGTTTCAATTTTCTGCATATGGCTAGCCAGTTCTCCCAGCACCATTTCCTAACAGGGAATCCTTTCCCCATTGCTTGTTTTTGTCAGGCTTGTTGAAGATCAGTTGTTTGTAGTATGTGATATTATTTCTAAGATCTTTATTCTGTTCCATTGGTCTGCTTATCTGTTTTTGTACCAGTACCCTGCTGTTTTGGTTACTGTAGCCTTGTAGTATAGTTTGAAGTAGGGTAGTGTGATGTCTTTAGTTTTGTTCTTTTTGCTTAGGATTGTCTTGGCTATACAGGCTCGTTTTTGGTTCCATATGAATTTTAAAGTAGTTTTTTCTAATTCAGTGAAGAATGTCAATGGTAGTTTAATGGGAATAGCATTGAATCTATAAATTATTTTGGGCAGTATGGCCATTTTCATGATATTGATTCTTCCTATCCTTGAGCATGGAATGTTTTTCCATTTGTTGGTGTCCTCTCTGATTTCCTTGAGCAGTGGTTTGTAGTTCTCCTTGAAGTCCTTCACATCCCTTGTTAACTGTATTCCTATTTATTCTGTTCTCTTTGTATCAATTGTGAATAGGAGTTTATTCATGATTTGACTCTGCTTGTCTATTGTTGGCGTATAGGAATGCTTGTGAGTTTTGCACATTGATTTTGTATCCTGAGATATTGCCAAAGTTGCTTATTAGCTTAAGCTTTTGAGCTGAGACAATGGGGTTTTCTAGATATAGGATAATGTCATCTGCAAACAGAGACAATTGGACCTCCTCTCTTCCTATTCGAATATCGTTTATTTCTTTTTCTTGGCTCATTGCCCTGGCCAGAACTTTCAGTACTATGTTGAATGGGAGTGGTGAGAGAGGGCATCCTTGTATTGTGCTGGTTTTCAAGGAGAATGCTTCCAGCTTTTTCCCATTCAGTATGATATTGAAAATTCGCCTCTATTTTTACTACCATTTGGTACATGTGGGTTGTAAGGATTGGAAACAATATATGAAACACCTAACTTGGCACCAAGTAGGCACCCAATAAATGGAAGCTGTTGATATTGTTAGGCATGTGCTGATAGCTGATGTTAACTTTATGAATCAATCTTTAACAAAAATGGGGCATGATAAGAAGAAGAGAAAGGTGTGCAAAGTTATATGTAGACAAAGTGGGTGCTGTTGTCATTCTTGCTGGAGACTACAGGGGCTTGTCTTACTTCATTCAGGCTGCTATAACAAAATATCATAAACTGCCTATAAATAATAGAAATTTATTTCTCATAGTTCTGGAGGCTGAGAATTCCAAGATCAAGGTGCTGGTAGATTTAGTGTCTGGTAAGGGACTATTTCCTTGTTCATAGATGGTACCTTGCTGTGTCCTCACATGACAGAAGAAATGAATGGGTTCCCTTGGGTCTCTTTTATGAGGGCAATAATTCCATTCATGAGGGTACTACCCTCCTGACCTAATCACCTCCCAAAGGTCTTACCTCCCAGTACCATCACCTTGGGGGTTAAGATTTCAACATATGAATTTCAGGGGGACATAAATACTCAAACCATAGCAGCAGTCTGGGAGGGCTTCAGGCCCAGAATAAAGCCAAGGGGCACTCCAGACAAAGTTTCATCCAACCTCTTCACTTTATTTTTTATTTTTTTGACATGGAGTTTCATTCTTGTTGCCCAGGCTGGAGTGCAGTGGTGCAATCTCAGCTCACTGCAACCTCTGCCTCCTGGGTTCAAGTGATTCTCCTGCCTCAGCCTCCCGAGTAACTGGGATTACAGGTGCATGCCACCACACCCAGCTAATTTTTTGTATTTTTAGTAGAGACAGGGTTTCTCTATGTTGGCCAGGCTGATCTTGAACTCCTGACCTCAGGTGATCCCCCTGCCTTGGCCTCCCAGAGTGTTGGAATTACAGGTGTGAGCCACTGTGCCTAGCCCAACCCCTTCACTTCAAAGATGAGCACAAGGCAGCCTAGAGGGTTCTGTGACTTGTCTTTGGGAAGCTTCTGGGTGTCTGCTTCAGGTCAGAAAGGTAGGATCAGGACTCCTGGTCAAAGAAAGGGAAGAAACCCACCCAAGAAAGATGCAGGGATGAGAAGTGGGGGGATTCACTGGTGCACACAGCCAGTTCACCGAAGGTTCAAGGTGGCAGATGGCCTCAAGATCACTTGGAACCAGGGTTTTAAATGTTCTAGGATTCTCCTCTCAGTCTCTCAGTTGGCTTTTATCACAAAGCTGGAAGTAGGGCTGTAGGCGGCTCTTGGTTTCACTACCAGAGAGGGATCATCTGTCTTCCTTCAGTCCCTAAAATGCAGGGAAAGGCTCTGATATGTCTGTTGGGCCTTATATTTTCCCCTGTGGGTTGAGAAGGGATGTTGGGGCCGGCTTTAATTTGCAGCCTCCTTTAGAACTGTGTATGTGTGTGCGCGTGTGTGTGGTGGTGGGGGGAGGAACAGTTCCCCCAAAGAAGGGAAGTAGTGTTTCCAGAAGAAGAAAGGGGTGTGTGGCAGTTAAAACAGTAGGCGACCAGTTATCTCAGTTCAGATACTTTAGGTTGTAGGTAATAACTCTTGAACTAATTTAAACAATAAAGACAATTTGTTGGCTCACATAGCTGAAAAAGTTCAAGGTAGATCCTCACTTAGGAGCATTTGGATCTGGGTTCAAATTCTTTTTCCTTTGATTTCTTTCTATTGAATATTCCCTGCAGTGTGTGTTGGTTTCATCCTCAGGCTGGCTTCTAGAATAAGAAATATCTTTCACAGTTTCAGCTGAAGTCCTGAGATTCATTCTGATCAGACTGGGTTAGGTCATAAGACTAGCCATGGCTGGGTGCAGTGGCTCACACCTGTAATCCCAGCACTTTGGGAGGCCGAGGCGGGCGGATCACCTGAGGTCGGGGGTTCAAGACCAGCTTGACCAACATGAAGAAACCCTGTCTCTACTAAAAATACAAAATTAGCTTGGCTTGATGGTGCATGCCTGTAATCCCAGCTACTCAGGAGGCTGAGGCAGGAGAATTGCTTGAACCCGTGAGGTGGAGGCTGCGGTGAGCTGAGATGGCACCATTGCACTCCAGCTTGAGCAACAAGAGCAAAACTCTGTCTCAAAAAATATATAATAATAATAATAATAATAAATAAAAGACTAGCCCTAAACCATTGTGCATGTGTGTGTGTATGTGTGTGTGGCCAGGTGATAGAACACACTAATGGCTTTTCTAAGGTTCCTTGGTCCAACTTCTGGAGCTATGGTGCAACTGGCATCCCTAGAAGGGAAAAGCATAAATGCTAAGGTGGTGGAGCAACCAACAGGAACCCACTTTATCATGAAAAAGATGAAGAGAGGTTAAATAAACAACCCCAAATCACACTCCTAGTCAATAGTGGTTATGAGTTTTGCACTAAAGTCCAACTGATCTCCACAGTCAAAGCATTTGACAAGAAGTCCTCTCATTGGTAAATACAAAACCTGTTATTGATTGCTGCATCATACACTACCCCAAACAAAGTAGCTTAACAATCACAAATTATGATTTCCCCCACCTCTGCTATCTGGGCTGAGCACAGCTGAGTAGCTATTCTGTTCCACGGGTTTCACTCAACAAATGTCTGGTGCCGCCTCCGGGATGCTGGAAGAGCTGGTTGCTGTTATGTGTTTGTCACTCCACGTGGACTTACCAGTAGGATAGAGAGACCTCTTCACTTGGTGGCCCAGGCCTCTAAAAACAAGCATTCCAGAAGGATAAGCCTCTGCTTGTGTCATTCTTGCCAAGTTTCACTGGCCAAGGCAAGTCATGTGGCCAAGCCCAGAGTCAGTGTGGGAGGGATCTACACAAGGTGGTGACTATGAAAAGAAGTAGGTTATTGGAGGCCATCCAGGGTGACCACCATGGCAGTGTGCTCTTGCTCTCCTTCTCCAATATAGAAAAGATTCTGTCATAAGTCAAGGAGCAGAACCCTCTTTTCTTAAACTCTCCTCTTCTTTGAAGGGAATAACTATTCATAGTTAGTCCAATCAAGGGTACAGTGTCTTGTGAGAATCCCATCAATGGGCCCTCCGGGGACCCTTGGTGGGGTGTGGCTGCATGGCCATTGCTGTGGCAGGGTCTGCTGGCAGCTCTGCAGCTAATGACATTTGCAGTTTCCATTACAGTCTGGCTTTCACAATATAGATTGTCCCAGATGCACACCTTGGAGTATGGAGTTTTACTTCTTATTTTATTTGGTTTTATTTCTTAAACATAGGCTGAATGTTAAGTTGCTTGACTTGTGTTTTTCCCCTTTAGGTTTTATTTTGGGAGCTTTACGTGATTAAAGCCGTAGTAGGAGGCTTTACATTTCACCATCTTTTCAGATGCCCAAGGCGTACGTTTTACTTTGGGTATTCTCCTGGGAAAAAAGAGGAGAGTCTTTCAGAAGGGAGGCCATTTGTCACCCACCCCGTGGTCTCATCTAAGGCTGCTGTGTACTGTTCAGCTAATAAATGTCTCATCTCTGCTTTCCCAAGGACCTGGATGATCCATCCACTTTTTATGGGTTGTTAGTATTCCATCACTTCTTTTGCTAAATAGAACAGCTTTAAAATTGGTATCTTTTTCTTATAAAGCTTCCTCATTCCATTTTTTTATTTTTCCCCTTCTACTGTAAAATTAATTCAAATATATTCAAGTTTCTAAATCCCAGGGTTAAAATTTGTCAAGCTCAACATTCTTTTTTTTTTTTTTGAGACAGAGTCTCGCTCTTGTTGCCCAGACTGGAGTGCAGTGGCGCGATCTCGGCTCACTGCAAGCTCCGCCTCCTGGGTTCACGCCATTCTCCGGCCTCAGCCTCCCGAGTAGCTGGGACTACAGGTGCCCACCACCACGCTTGGCTAATTTTTTGTATTTTTTTATAGAGATGGGATTTCATCGTTTTAGCCAGGATGGTCTTGATCTCCTGACGTCGTGATCCACCCGCCTTGCCTCCCAAAGTGCTGGGATTACAGGTGTGAGCCACCGTACCTGGCCCAACATTCTTAACATCATGTAAATTTGTTTTAGGTGGTGTGAGAGTATTTCTTTTTATTTGCTGTTTTCCTTCAAGGGCCATGACACAATAGTTGTCTCAATTCAGCTCCACTTGTTTCCACATACGAATGCTGTCTTTAAGTTTAGTATTTTATTTTCTCTCTCCTCTCATTTCATGTATCAGTCTGAGTTATGCTCTGGATCTTTTATCTTCTAACTTGGCATTTTTTGGGGAACTTACTCTATGGATGTGTTCACCCCACTTTAGCTGTTTTTCTAACTGTCATTTCATGGCTCATAAACAAATAAAAAATTTCAGAGTGTGGCATTTCTGGTAACTCATAGTGGCACATGTTTCGAAGTCAAACAATGGCTACTTGCAGTAGATTTCCAGACTGAAAACAGTCAAATTTCTACCCGAGTCTAGAAAATCAAAACTGGGTATCCCTGTGTCCCTTTCTGAGATACAGAAGCTTGGAGAATGCCCTTAAATATCCTACAGCTTTTGGCATCTCTGAGTCTGTATTCTGAGTCTATAGAATGGGCTTTCTGAGCATTCTTTTTTTTTTTTTTTTTTAGACGGAGTTTTGCTCTTGTTGCCCAAGCTAGAGTGCAATGGCACGATCTTGGCTCACTGCAACCTCCGCCTCCCAGGTTCAAGCGATTCTCCTGCCTTAGCCTCCCAAGTAGCTGGGATCACAGGCGCCCACTACCATGCTTGGCTAATTTTTTTGTATTTTTAGAAGAGATTGGGTTTCAACACGTTGGCCAGGCTGGTCTCGAACTCCTGACCTCAGATGATCACCCACCTCAGCCTCCCAAACTGCTGGGATTATAGGCATGAGCCACTGCACCCAGCTGTTCCTGAGCATTCTTTAGAGACTGAGCCTACCGAAACACAAAAATGACTGCCAACCTTAGTGATGTTGTTTGCTTCCCACTCGGTGCAACTGAGAACCATTTGAAGGCAGAAGACCACATGACAAGTAGGACTTTAGCCACTTCACTTGAACAGAGCAACTGAAGGATGTTCTAGCCACATAGAACTAGGACATAGCAACTGGAACTGGACTCCCTCGGAGCTGAAAGGAATTTGAGATATCAGGTCCATTCTCATGTATTGACTGAACTTTTCCAGCCAAGTGATATTCTTCCCTGGCTTAGAACAATTCTTGTGAATGATTTACAACTCTGCTAGAGTTTAACTATCCACCCTTTTTGAATGCCCAAGACAAATTCTACACAGCAGGGTGGATTAAGCTTCTGACTTGGTTTATCCTTGTGATATAATCTGGATGTCTGTCCCTTCCAAATCTCAAGTTAAAATTTGATGTCTGATGTTGGAGATGGGGCCTGGTAGAAGGTGTTTAGGTCATGGGGGCAAGTCTCTCATGAATGGCTTGATGCTGTTCTCCTGGTATTGAGTGAATTTTTGCTCTGTTAGTTCCCAGGAGATCTGGTTATTAGAAATAGCCTGGCATTTCCTCCCTTCTCTCTTCCTTTGTCTCTTGCCATGCATTGCTAGTCCCCGTTTGTCTTCTGCCATGAGTAGAAACTTCCTGAGGTCCTCACCAGAAGCAGATGCTAACACCGTGCTTCTTGTGCAGTTGGCAGAACCGTGAGGCAAATAAACCTCTTTTCTTTCTAAATTACCCAGCCTCAGTATTCCTGTATAGTGATGCAAAGGGACTAAGACACCTTGTTGGGGATTATGGGAAGTCCTGGCCAGACTCATTTATATGGAAGACCTAGGCTTTGTGATGCAGGTGCAGATAAAGGAAGGTTACGTAGCTTGGGGCTTAGATGCAGAAAAGGGAACCTTTACAAGAGAAGGGATAGCAAGGATTTTAAGGTCTGGAATCTGGATGTTAGGCATGGGAGGTAGGGCTTACTGAGTGACAAAATCGTTGCTTTGCATGGTGGCATAGGTTGTTTTGGCATGGAGGCATGGACCTTCCTGAGGAGAAGAGGGAGGATCAAAGCCAGGAAGTCCCATTGTTGGTTTTTTTCTTGGACCTGGGAAGTGGCAGAGAGGACAGCTGCCGTTGGTGATTTGTGCTCCCTTCCCACAGTAAAGTTGTTGCTTTCTCAGCCCATCTAGATCCAGGTAGGGCCATGAAAGTGAGTTCCAGTCAATGGAATGTGGGCAGAAATGATGACGCCGCCTCTAGTCCTGGCCCCAGAACTTTCCTACAGGATCCTGTACATGTTTTCTCTTTCCAGGAATGCCAACTGACCTCAGCCCCCAGGGCCAGGGCATGGGGACCATGTGTGGAAGATGGCATAGCTTCTGTCAGGTGTGTTTACCATGGTTGTGTGAACTGAGTTTCCCTTCCCCCATTCTCCTCCTTCCCTCCATCCCCAACCACCAGTCTCTACCATTGATGTGAGCAAAATTAAATAACTCTGTATCTTGTGAAGCCCCTGAGAATTTGGAGTGTGCTCGTTATGACAGACAGCATTAGCCTAACTAACACACAGGGGATTCCTTATTCTTCATGGGCTGCTGGCCATTGTCCCCACCTTCGGCATATCCCCATGAGGCACAGTTAGAGGACACGGAGAAGCCATCCTCGCTGAGCCTGCTTCTTGGTCTGAGCCGTTCTTTCCTTTTCAGACATGCTAAAACTTGTGAGCAGAAATGATTACTATACTTGAGTTTTACTTTGGCCCTCCTCTGGAACAAAGCCTGATTCTTTCTAACCTGGACCTAGGACAAAATTGCTTTTGATTACTATTTGCTATTCTCTATGCAAACAACAAGCATTTATTAAACCCCTGGTTTTATCTGGCTAGTTTTGGGCTGGACAGAAAGAGATAGCAAAGAACACAGCCTGTCTTTCCAAATATTTTATAAATTTAGTAGAGACAGAGGAGATTCATGCAGAAGTCATCTAGAGGATAATATGATGCCATATGGGAATAGATTGTATAGGAATTCAGTGAAGGCATAGACTTGTGTGGATTGGCTTTATTGAAGAAGATACTAGGAGATCTAAGGGTTCTACTTGGCCTTGGAGGGAGACTGAGAACCAGAGAACAATGAGTAAGGATGGGCTCTGGTGTGAAGCCTGATATCCTCCTGCTTAGCACAAAAAGAAATTGTCACCTTTTCTTTGGAGCAGCAGAATTAAGTTTGGCCCAGTGAGATGGAGGCTCTCAGGTAACTGCAGCGGGCCAGAAGGGTGGGGAAACTGGGTGAGATGGACACATCTTGCCTCACAGTGATCCCACGGGAGGGGAGGAATTCAGGACCATGGGTTGGTTCCTCTTGTCTCCGGCCCCTGGGGGGGACGTGTATTAGTTTGTTTTCATGCTGCTGATAAAGACATGCCCGCGACTGGGAAGAAAAAGAGGTTTAATTGGATTTACAGTTCCACATGGCTGAGGAGGCCTCAGAATCATGACGGGAGGTGAAAGGCACCTCTTATATGGC
The DNA here is from genome assembly GCF_000001405.40 of Homo sapiens. Lineage (NCBI taxonomy): Eukaryota > Metazoa > Chordata > Mammalia > Primates > Hominidae > Homo > Homo sapiens. The sequence continues at coordinate 14,892,001 of NC_000006.12, read as the reverse complement.
AGCGGCAAGAGAAAATGAGGAAGAAGCAAAAGTGGAAACCCCTGATAAACCTGTCAGATTTCGTGAGACTTATTCACTGTCACAAGAATAGCATGGGAAAGACCAGCCCCCATGATTCAATTACCTCCCCCTGGGTCCCTCCCACAACATGTGGGAATTCTGGGAGATACAATTCAAGTTGAGATTTGGGTAGGGGCACAGCCAAACTATATCAGGACCCTACTTCCCTGGGGAGCTCTGCTGTAGCACATATCCCCTTAAACCAGGGGTGTGCTGAAGGCAACGCATTTTGGCTTAAGAGAGTTGATTAGAATTTTGTGAGCCAGTTGTTAAACACACCTATTATTATAAATTAAACTATAGTCTGGGTGTGGTGGCTCATGCTTGTAATCCCAGCACTTTGGGAGGCTGAGGCAGATGGATCACTTGAGCTCAGGAGTTTGAGATGAACCTGAGCAACATGATGAAACTCCGTTTCTACTAAAAATACAAAAATTAGCCTGGCCTGGTGACACGTGCCTGTGGTTCTAGCTACTGGGGAGGCTGAGATGGGAGGATCACTTGACCCTGGGAGGTGGACGTGGAGGCGGAGGCGGAGGTTGCAGTGAGCCAAAACTGCACCACTGCACTCCTGCCTGGGTGACAGAGTGAGACCACATCTCAAAAAACAAACAAACAAATATATATGTATGTATGTCTTACATGAACTTATACTAAATAAATTATAAAACTAAATAAGTGAACTTACAACTAAATAAATTAGATTAAAGTAAATATAATAAATACTCAAAAGTCATCACTTCCCAGGTGTTTTGCTGTTTCTTTCTTTTCTTTTCTTTTTTTCTTTGAGACAGAGTCTCACCTGACACCCAGGCTGGTGCGCAACGGCACAATATTAGCTCACTGCAACCTCCGCCTCCAGGATTCAAACAATTCTCCTGCCTCAGCCTCCTGAGTAGCTGGAATTACAGGCACCTGCCACCACACCCAGCTAATTTTTGTATTTTTAGTAGAGACGGCGTTTCACCATGTTAGCCAGGCTGGTATCAAACTCCTGACCTCATGATCCGCCCGCCTTGGCCTCTCAAAGTGCTGGGATTACAGGCATGAGCCACCGCGCCCAGCCTGTTTAGCTATTTGTTTTGTTTTGTTTTGTTTTTTGAGATGGAGTCTCGCTCTGTCACCCAGGCTGTAGTGTGGTGGCGCGATCTCGGCTTACTGCAAGCTCCGCCTCCTGGGTTCACGCCATTCTCCTGCCTCAGCCTCCCAAGTAGCTGGGACTACAGATGCCCGCCACATGCCCGGCTAATTTTTTTTTGTATTTTTAGTAGAGACAGGGTTTCACCGTGTTAGCCAGGATGGTCTTGATCTCCTGACCTCGTGATCCTCCCGCCTCGGCCTCCCAACTATTTTTTATTATCTATGCTCTAGAAGCTCTTTATGACTATTGTCACTGTACGGTGGTCTTATGGGTTCATTTGTGTTCCCTCCCTCCACAAATTCATATGTTGAAGTCCTAACCCCCAGTATCTCAGAACGTGACCTTATCTGGAAAGAGGGTTGTTGAAGATGTAATTAGTTCAGATGAGGTCATTAGGGTGGGGCCCTAGTCCAATATTACTGGTGTCCTTATAAAAAGAGGAAGTTTGGGCACAGAGAAATATGCACGCAGGGAGGATGTCACGTGAAGATGAAGGCAGAGATTGGGGCGATGCAGCAGAAGCCAAGAATCGCCCAACACGGCAGCAAACCATCAGGAGCTGGGAGAGACACAGGGAACAGATTTTCCCTCGGGGCTCACAGAAGGAGCCCCCCTTGCCCACACCTTCAACTTGGACTTGCAGTCTCCTGAACCGTGGAACAATGAATTTCTGTTGTTTGAGGCACTTGGTTTGTGGCACCTTGTGATGGCAGCCCTAGGAAACTCACACCAGTAGAAATATGACATTAGATTTCTACAAGCTGGTGAACACCACCTCCCCATACTCCTCGTGCAGTGACTTTGCATTGTTAGCTTGAAATAGCCACAGCAACTGATTTGTAAACAAACGCTACAAATCAGGCTGGATTTATTGTCTCATTGGTTGTCTAGACAAGGGGTTGGGAACTACAGCCTGTGGGCCAAATCTGGGCCCCCACTTGCTTTCATAAAAAGTTTTATTGGGACATAGCAGGGACGCTCTTTTGTGTTCCTGTTGTCGACGGCTGATTTGGCACTACAATGGCCCCGTTGAGTAGTTGTGACAGAGACCGAATAGCTCACAAAGTTAATATTTACTATCTGGCTCGTAAGAGTCAAATTTTATGGAACCCTTGGTCTAGACTTAAGGAAGTGAGGGAGATAATATTAAACATACAGATAAAACTTTAAAGTCTGCCTATCAATAGCCATTACTTTGTGAATGACACAAAAAAATTTGAGAAAATCTTCCTCCAGTCTTTGACAACTGTATCTGATTCTGTAAAGGAGTTGTTCCTATCATTGACGAATGAGTGGAATTCTGACACAGATCTTAGTTGTTTCACTTTCCTGTTGTTTACATAAATGAAAATAGCAACCAACAGCCATCCCAGAACTATACTTGTTCATCAGTTGCCACACTGGTTGGCTACAGAGAAGAGAGTTTGTCAAAAATCAATGGAAGTTGCTGGGTGTGGTGACTCATGCCTGTAATCACAGCACTCTGAGAGGCTGAGGCAGGAGGATGGGGCAGGAGTTCGAGACCAGCCTGGGCAACATAGTGAGACCCTGTCTCTGGTTATTATATTTAAAAATAAAAATAAGTAAAATAAAAATCAATGAAAGCATACATAAGAAACAATTGGCTATATGGAATTTACCAGATTGTGTGTATCATATAGCAGTAAAGTTTATAATAAACCTATGTGTTTACATCTACATATGCACACATTTTCTCTCCTGGAGAGCCACTTATTAAACTTTTATCAGCACGCCACTTCACCTAACCTCTGTGCGACACCTGCAGCTGGGCAGAGGACACATAGTTTGTGGGGCTGTTGCCATATGACTCTGGCCTTGGCTTGGTTTCACCACCATGCTGCCTAAGGGAGCACAGTTGGTAGAAACAACTGCGGTAGGAAGGCCCAGTGGCACGAAGGAACTGGGCTTGGCTACTCCCTGCCCTGGGGGATGGACAGTACGTACCAAGCTTCAGGGGTGAAGCAGGCCTGCTGATGAAGGGGTGCCAATGCAAATCCGAGGTTGGACTTGCTCCCACCAGTGATAGAAGTCCTTCAGCAAGGGAACAACAGGGTGACAGGCCTGATTTAAGAAGCCAGATTTGGTAACAATGTGAAGGACAGATTGGATGGGAACAACCAGCTCTGGGGCTGTCACAATCTGTGGTTTAGTAAACAGAGCTCAGAAAGTCCATGGCTCTGCCCTAGGCATGTTTTTTGGCATTTGTAAAAAAGGCTTGCAAAATGTTAAGAAATGGGATCCTTGCTTGACTGTAGAAGTCTCAATGGAACCCCAGAGCCTACAAAACAGAAAAATAGAAAAGCAATTCTGAAAAGCTTTGCCAAATGGCTGTCATGTGGCTTTCTACCATCCCTCTGTTGCTTTCTAGGTGCCTATTAGAAATGAAGAAATAGTTTGGCAGCGACCTTCCCTTGAAACAAGCAGTTATGGATGGAGGGCCTTGATTTGAAACTAAGACTGTGCATTTGCAGTAACTTGACAAGGCTCTTGGGTTCCATGGAGAATATATTGGGTGGGGCCGCCCACAGCACCTTGGGTTCATCTCTAGCAGGGCATGTCAACTCTTACCTGGTCTTCCCAGCCCGTGACGGCAGATGCCGGGACAGTTGCTCACCACATAGCAAAAGCTGCTCATGACATTGCAAACCCCTCACTACCCAGCAAGGCAATGACTTTAGTCAGTATCCTGTCCTCAGGATGGTCTTCTTACAGCTGCTTCTTTCCCCCAAGCCCAGGTTTGATTTTAGGTGGGAAGGATTTAAGAAACTTTAACTTAGGCCAGGTGTGGTGGTTGACACCTGTAAACCCAGTACATTGAGAGGTTGAGGCGGGATGATTGCTTGAGCCCAGGAATTCAAGACCAGGCTGGGCAACATAGTAAGACCCTGTCTCCCTCTGAAAAAAAAAAAAGAAACTGCAATTTGTTGCTCTGCCATCTGGCATGCAGCCCCGGACTTGTCCGCTACATCGGGTTCAGAACTGGCTGCTGGTCTGGAGCGTTTCTCCCAGTGTGGGGCTGGTCAGGTCTGCCTGTTCCTGGGGTCCCTGCTCAGTGTTACAGATGCCCTAGGACAGGGGTGCAGCCTGGTTCGTGGCAGTCCTCCTGTGGCCTTCAGAAATGGATCCTCACTCCGGGTTCCCAACCCACTGGGCTTGTAACTTGCTGACAAATATTCAGATAACTGCCTGTCTGCATGCATTTGTTCAGTCAGGATACTGACTGACATCACTGACTTGCTGGGTGGTGAGGGCTTATTGCTAGAATTTTCTTTTCTCCACTCAGCACTGGACTTCAGATATGTGGTGGAAAAGACAGTGACTTTGGAATCAGCCAGATTCAGCTAAACTCTATGTTTTGCTGAAAGGTAGCTGTGTGGTCTTGGGCAAATAAGTTAACCTCTCTGAGCCACGGTTGCTTTTCTGTAAAAAGGAGGGTCAGACTGTCTGTGTCAGGTTGTTCTGAGGATTAAAAGAGATGACATAGGTAGAGAGACACCTCAATGTGCAGTGCTTGTCGGTTATCTGTTAGATAATACAGATAGTATCGTAGATATTAGCTAATACCAATGAGATCTGTTTGCTAGGATGTTCTTCAAATGCGACTGGAGATCTGTTTGCTAGGATGTTCTTCAAATGCATATTCTGATTCGGTTGCTCTAGAGCTGGGCCTGAGATGCTGCATCTTTAACAAACCCCCAGATGATGCCGATGCTGCTGGCCCCAGACCACACTCTGAATAGTGAGATGTGACATTGACCTTGGCTTCCTTCCTCGCACCTGCAGCCTCCAACTCCTGCCTTATCCCAGAGGGAAGCTCTTACTTCAGGCCAGAGACCCATGATCCTCCTTCTCCTAAGTCATCACCTAGCCTTGTCAGGAGATAAGTCCCCTGACTTCCGTAAGTCAGGCGAACTAATGTCAGAGGAGGGAGAAATGAAACGTGAGTGTGTGTGGTGGGGAATTTACAATTACAACAATCGAGGTGGGCAGATCACTTGAGGTCAGGAGTTCGAGCCCAGCCTGGCAAACATGGCGAAACCCCATTTCTACTAAAAATACAAAAAAAAAAAGTTAGCCAGGCATGGTGGCGGGTACCTGTAATCCCAGCTACTCAGGAGGCTGAGGCAGGAGAATCACTTGAACCTGGGAGGCAGGGGTTGCAGTGAGCCTTATTGCACTCCAGCCTGGGAGACAGAGTGAGACTCTCTCAAAAAAATAAAAATAAGTAGAATTAGAACAATGAGCAGGATAGATGCAGTAACAAGCAGTCAGCAGGGGCAGGTGAGTGCAGCTCCATTCATTCCTAATATCTTAAGCACATCATGACTTAAAAAAACATTACGATGAATGAACCACAGAGAGCTGGGATGTGGAAAAATTTGGAGGGAGCTCATGGCTCTGTCCCTGAGCTGATATAAGATATGGAAAAGTTGCAAGAAAGAAGGCAAAAAACAATGTGCATGCTTATGTGGGTCTGTGCTCTATCCGGTTTTCATTCCTGGAAATGCACCTTTTCTTCTTCTATATTTTATTTTCATCACTGAATGCCTTTGTGTGAAACCTTTGGGTGCATGCCTCTCTTTCATCCAGATGTTCACACTCTCCTCCTTGAGGCCCAGCCTGAATGCCATGTCCTCTTACAGCCCTTAGTAGGGTAGTGAGTTTCTCCGAGCCATCCTGGTCCCACTGTGTCAAACTGTCCCAGTCACAGGAACCGCAGCAGCCCCCTGACTCTCCCCCAGCCCTGCTGGATCTCTCTAGTCCTGCCGGGCTTTCCCTCTGGGTGGGGACCAACAGGGAGTCGCTTAGTGTTTGAAAATGGCTGTGATGGCAATGGAGGCACCACCGCAGCTCCCCACAACAGACCCCACACTGTTGGTCTGGCCACTATAGTTGGGATTCTGTCTGCCTCCAGAAGGCCTCATGAATGAGGAACCTGTGTGACTTTTATCCTGTTCCTCTCCATCAGGCTCTGGGTTAGGGTGAGTGGGTGGGGATTACAATTCTTTCCCCCACACCAGGTCACAGCCTGCAATGGGACAGTGATAGAGCTTCGACTGACTCAGTTTTTAGCTCATCTCCGCCTTCTTAGGAAGATGGCTGTGGTCCAGAGGGAGCTGGCCGGGAAGTTTCTCATCCAGGGCTCTGCTGGCTCTTTAAGTGTGTTGACCCCGTACGGCTGTCTGAGGAGCTTCATAAAGGCATCAGTTGTAAGTGTCCAAATAGACAGCTCCATTTCCCTTTCCCATGAAGCTTCTCAGTTGTTCTTGCAAATAGAGCAGCTTCCTGTCCATCTCCCTCTCTCCATCCAGAAGCACTTCTGTCTTCTGAATTTTTTTTTTTTTTTTTTTTTTTTTTTTTTTTGAGACGAAGTCTCTCTTTTGTCAACCAGGCTGGAGTGCAATGGCGCGATCTCGGCTCACTGCAACCTCCGCCTCTTGGGTTCAAGCGATTTTCTTACCTCAGCCTCCCAAGTAGCTGGGATTACAGACATCTACCACCACAAAATTTTTTTGTATTTTTAGTAGAGACAGCGTTTCACCATGTTGGTCAGGCTGGTCTCAAACTCCTGACCTCAGGTGATACGCCCACCTCAGCCTCCCAAAGTGCTGGGATTACAGGCATGAACCACTGCCCCCGGCCTGTATTCTGAACTTCTATAGCCACCTTCACTTGTCTCTGTTTCCTATTCCATTCCTTTTTACACATGCATTATTTCAGACTGGGCTGGATTGTCCTGGAAGGCAGGATTCGTGTTGGAAAATATGTTCTTAGTAGGGGAGTGAAAAATTCGTATGCTTTTGTACCATATCAGTCTTATTAAGCCAGTCTCAGTTAGACCTGAAATTTATTTTCATGTCTTATCTTTGTCTCATCTCAGCTTAATATTGAGCGACTCTTGAATCTTTTAGAGTAGTTGTGATGGGCAGATACACCATTTGCTGTACCACATAGATCCTAAGAAATAATATCACCAGGCCATTTTCAAAGTCAAAAGCCACATAATTTAGTGTTTGGAAATACAAGATTTTTTTTTTTCCTCAAGTGTGGAGACTAGAAAAGTAAGCTGGAATGCCAAACACTTGTTTTGAAATTCTTTTAAACATTATAATTGATATTCCTTATGTTTGGCTTTGAAAACAATTCTCTCCAGAGCCTACAAAGAGCTCCCTCCGATCCTGGTAGCCGGCTGAGGCCGCAATGCTGGAAAAGTTGCCTGCCTGGGTCTGGGAGTCAATTCTGTTCTTTCTCATCAATAGTGGGAGGAGCCAAAGACGATGGAGCTCTAAAGTGTGGACCTCTTTCAGAGCAGTTAAAAAAATCAGTGTCTCTGGCAGAAGAAAAAGGGTAGGGGGAAGGACAACTCAGATCTTGGATCATAAATGAAAGCATCTCTTTAAGCCGCTGCTCCCTCCTTCCTCCTACCCCCAGGCTGCGCTCACACAGAATCGCAGAATCATCACCAAGAGTGGGTTTAAATTTGGTTGCACTGGTAAGGGTAAGGCCCTGACATGACCGTAAATTACAGGGGATGGGGTGCAGCAGCTGGAACTTAATGGGATTATTCTGGGTTGTGACCCCTGCCGGGCAACCCCACCAGGGAGAAGCCTCTGCATCCACACTAAAATTGCTCTGCACTCCATCAGCTGGAAAGGTGTCATATTGCGTTGTGTCAGTGACTTGAGAGTTCTTAATTCAGAGCAGCTGGTTGACCTCTGCAGGAAGGAGTGGCCTCTTTGGGCTATTTCCTCCTCACTGTCTCTTCAAACTTTGCTTTTGTGGAGTTTGGGCAGCAGATCTAATTGGTGGCTCTGTGGGCTTCCATGTGACTTTTCTGTAGCAGCACTTCCATCGGAGCTCCTTCCTCTTCCTCTAGGACCCGCGTTTTATTTTATTTTAGTTTCTTTGAGATGGAGTTTTGCTCTGTTGCCTGGCTGGAGTGCAGTGGCACTATTTTGGCTCACTGCAACCTTCGCCCCCCGGGTTCAAGCAGTTCTCCTGCCTGAGCCTCCCGAGTAGCTGGGATTACAGGTGCCCATCACCACGCCCTGCTAATTTTTGTATTTTTAGTAGAGACAGGGTTTCAACATGTTGGCCAGGCTGGTGTCAAACTCCTGACCCCAAGTGATCCACCTGCCTCGGCCTCCCAAAGTGCTGGTATTACAGGCATGAGCCACCGCGCCCGGCATGGGCCTGCATTTTAATCAAATCTCTAGTCACCTTTTCCTGGCCCAAGCGGTTCTGGAGAGCACCACCTCTCAGATCATGGAATTGAAGCTGGTTGGACGCATATGTTAAGTGTGGCTGTTACTTAAATACGTGGTCACCAGAATAGCTAATTAACATGCTTCCCTGCCCCTTCTGCCGTCCCCTGCACACAGAAAGGAAAATAATGTTTTATTTTTAATTTTTTGGCTTCTCTGATTTTGCTTGCTATTTTTGGCCGAAAGTCTATTTTATTAAGTTCAAAGGCATCTCTGTTTTGCCAGGAGTGGAGAAATAGAGCAACTTGCCAGCAGTACCTGAAGAGACCAGGGTCTTCTGGGCCATAGTGTTATTCTGGGAATCCTGGTTTCCACAGGAAGCATGCTGTTGATTTTTGTTTCTAATGTTGGAGTTTCGTAGTAACACTGTTTTAGTATTGGGGGACTGGGTGATGAGATTCCTCTTGGTATTTCATCCATTTACAGGCCACCACTGACTGAGCACCTACTACCTGTCCTGTGCTCTATTCTGAGACACAAGGATGAATGATCTGTGTCTTTAATGCTTGTGAGGCTCAGAGAGTATCGAGGAAGAAAGTTATGTAAACTGTGGATTGTAATGTAATGTGATAAGTACGGGTGTGTGTCTATTTGCAACACGAATGCTTCCAGGCATGCCAGCTTGTGGGTACAGATGAGGTCAAATGCACTGTCAGAACTCACATTTCATTGTTCCGGCCCCTCCCCCATCACTCAGAACCTCAGCCATTTATCGCTGTGAGTCCCTGGGGTCTCGCTTCTTTTCTTTGGCTCGTGCCTTTATGCTGTCCCTGGCCCCCAGGTCCACTGCTGGGTTCCTCTGCTGCTTGTGTTCCCTGGGATGACCCTTGGGCTTCTGCCAAAAGCCTGACAGCTCCTGCTCCCCAGGCCCACTCAATGCCTTGGTCCTCACCCACATCCCTGAGCTGAGCCACCCTCGGTCCTGGGCAAGAGAGGGGAGAACATGGCTCGCCTCTCTTTTGGGTTACATTTCATCACTGGGCACAAAGCAGCATGTCTGGGCTCCTGTGTCTCACAGCTCCTCTTTCAGCCAAGTTTCAGCAGAACTTGGACATAAATCCATGGGGCCAGGTCAGGGTCCAACATCTGGTACAAACACAATAAGCACCTTCTTGCAGACATCACCCCCATTGAGTAAGTGCATTCCTCTCTTTCTCTTACTTCCTTCTGCCAAGCATCACCTCCTTAAACAAATGGCTTCTGCCGGCCACTGGTCAGTTCATTAGACACACTCAGACTTAATGCTTCTTAAGGGTGTCCTTTTCTTCCTGCTCTCACCATTTTATTTCAGGTCCTCATGACCTTGCCTGAACTGTTGGCCATAGTTTTCTAATTGGCTTTCCTTCCTCTGGTCTTTGCTCCCTTCCACCCTGTACCCAGAGTTGCTTCAATCAATGACCATCCTTGGAAAGGGTCTGTTCTGAGTTTGCGTTGTACAGAAATGATCTTGCTAATTAGAGCAAGGTCCCAGGATATGATTAAAATTACATTGCTGGTGATTGGCCTCTTATATATTTTTTATATATACGGTTTTTACCTTACCCAGTTTCCAAATGGAATTTGATTTCATGTGATTCCATGAATCATTCTTGTTATTCCCAGCCCATCAATATCTAGGGGAAATGGCCATTTAGAATCAATGTCTTTATTTGTTCCATCTGGATAGTTATGAAATTTGAAAGCATTAGAACTCTTATGAAGAAGATGGTCCTTACCAAATTTCAGAAACAAAGATTGGATTTAGGCCCACCATAGCTTTATTCACGATGGGCTTTAATGATAGTATCTGAAATGGATTCACTAGAGAATGCGGTCCTGCCCTGGGGCCTCATGTTTCTGAACTGATGGAAACCGCTGGACGAGCAGAGCTGGGAGCTGGGAGAAGTCAGGATATTAACTAGGCAGCACTGGATAAATCACAAACCAAGATCCACAACTTCCTCAAAGGGTTGACTCATAGCATTGACCAGTGCCAAAGATCTACTACAATAGTAGCCTTAAAAAAAAAAAAGTTTCACTAAGGTCAAGAAGAACCATAAGCACTGCCTATGCATTAAATTAACACTGGGGAACATTTTTATCATAATGCAATACAATTTAGATTTTTCTCATTGTTTTCATTTTGGAGGGAAAAGTGAGCTCCTCAAAGCCGTTTGCTTAGTATGTGTGTCACCGATTTGGAGACCAGATGCTGGGAGATACTGGAAGTCTGTGTCTAGAGGGGACTCTGCCTGTGGAGCTGGAAAATCTTTCTCCTGACTCAGTTGCTCCACCCCAAAAGGATACCAAAAATATTGTGCAAAGAGAGAAAAGTCAGGATCTTGGTGAAGGGAGCAGCCTCCTCCATCCTTTTAATCAAAGAAAATTTCATGATTGTATCCTTACAGTCCTTTGTTGTAAGGTAAAGGCTGTAGAAAGAGATCCCAGCAGGCTGGATTAGACAAGGAAATCTCCACAATATAAAAGGAAATTGCCCTTGTCTCTAAAGGATGGGCAGGATTTAGACAGCTGGAGGCAAGAACATTCTCCATGGGGAAAGGGGCAGTGGAGATGGAAATGGGATTGATGGATTCCTGAGACAGAGGTCGGGAGCCTTGCTGTGAAAGAGGAAATGTGTTGGGAAATAGTAGGAACCGAAGTTTCTGGGCAGAGCAGGCCTTTATTATGGAGGGCCATGAAAGACAGGAAAAAAAGTTTCTGTTTAACCTTGCAGGAAGCTGGAAGCCATGGAAACTTTTCAGCAGGGGAATGACAATAACAAGACAGACTTGGAGACAGAAAGCCTGGATTTGGGGGCATTGTAATTGAGCGCCAATATCATGAAAATAAAATAAACAATAACAACAAAAACTGCTGAGACTATGGAGACTGATTTGTTATGGGAAGGGAAAGAAAGTGATGTCAAAGATGCCACCAGGGGTTGGACTAATAGAGACCAGGGCTACCCAAAGACACGAGGAGGGGCTGCTGGTCTGGAGGGAGGGTTGTGAGTTTTGTTTTGCCTGTTTGAGTTTAAGAACATGATGAGGAACCCAAGTGCAGCTCAACAGTGGGGCTGCTGCCTGAGCCCCTGGAGACTAAATCCGCTTAGAGGTGATGATTGAAAGAAAGTGTGAGCCTGGAAAAATGTTCTTTTAGAGAAAGCGTGAAGAAAGGAGAGCGGGGGCCCAAGACTGGGCCTTGGACTGGAGGCTGAAGAGGAACCTGTGAAGGAAACAGAATGTTCCCAGCCAAGGGCTCCCTGGTCCTGCAGGATGCCTTGCTGCCTGCTGCCCAGGGCACAGCAACCATTGCTACCAAAACAGTGCCAGCTCCAGCTTGCGGCAGAGAAAAGCGATGCAGGCCTGGAGGCCAGCAGCAATGTTGACATGATGTGCTACATTATTCGACCTACCCACCTTGGTGTCTACTTTAGGGCACCCTTTCAAATCCGGCGCTGTCGGGTGCAGTATCCATGTTACCAATGGTTTAAGCTGATAGTTTAGAAGGGCCCTGTAATTAGGGTTGCCAGATTTAGCAAATGAAAATATAGGATACTCAGTTAGATTTGACCAGATAAACCATGAATGTTTTTTAGTATAAGTATGTCCCAAATATCATATAATATATACTTGTATTTTAAAATGTGATTATTTCTCTGAAATTCAAATTTAACTGGGCATCTTGTTTTTCATCTGGCAATCTTTCTATACTCTGATAAATCTTCTGATCTCAGTTCTAAGGGGGCCATGATCACACCTTTTCTTGGCGAGTGGCCCCTCTTCCCCAAGACACATTTCATTCTCTTTTTTCCCTCCCCCACATTGAATCAGATGGTATTATTCAGAATACACAGGCCATTGTTCTACACCCACCATGTGCTTGGCAGGGCACAAGTTATTTTCACATATACAATATCAGTAGTTTGCAACTTGTTCAGGGGATATAGAACTTGAAAATCAGGTGCTTTTGGCAGACTATCACAGATGTAAAAATTTTTTTTTTTTTTTTTTTTTTTTTTTGAGACAGAGTCTCACTCTCTTGCCCAGGCTGGAGTGCAGTGGCATGATCTTGGCTCACTGTAACCTCTGCCTCCTGATTCTCCTGCCTCAGCCTCCTGAGTAGCTGGGATTACAGACATGCATCACCATGCCCGGCTAATTTTTGTACTTTTAGTAGAGATGGGGTTTCACCATGTTGGCCGGGCTGGTCTCAAACTCCTGACCTCAGGTGAGCCGCCCACCTTGGCCTCCCAAAGTGCTGGGATTACAGGTGTGAGCCACCGTGTCTGGCCATAAATGTAAAATAATTATACCAGCAATTCTGACAATGCCATGGAGGTGGGAAAGAAGCCCCAACAATGATTGAGACTGAAAGTTATGTGCGGGCATGCAATGAAACATTACAATAGAAAAATACATATATCCAAAGTACAGTCATGTTTTTAAGTCATTCCATTGATATTTTTGACAGGCAGTTTATTGAGATATGTGTTTTTGTTCTCCCTGTTGTATTTTCACCTTCCTCATTCCTGAGAAACTGAGTCTTGTCTTATAAGACCAAAGCATGACTTGTTGGTACCCAGAAGACAACTCCACCTGATATTTGTTGTAAAGGCCCTTTGAGTAGGATTACACTGGGCCTTCTGGGAAAGGAAAGGGATGAAAGAAAATGTTCACAGTTGAGAAATTGAATTGGGTTGGTGGGTAAGGAGTGGGGGAGTCCATGAAATTAAGAGCAGGACTGGCTTTGGGATCTCTAAACATGGGAGGTCCTGGGCCCTGAAGGGGTCTAGAATAAGCCAAGGTGGCATAAAAAAATTATTTTGAGCTGAAGGCATTTGAGTTCATGAAATCTCTTATCTGCCTAAAAGCAGAGCCTCCCAAAAGAACTCAGTTTTTATAAATCCCCTCCTTGGAAGCAATTCTAATCTTCTCTTCTTGGAAATGAGAAATTGGTACCACAGTCAAACAGATATTGTTACAAAAAGATCATTTTTCCCTTTTATTCTCCTATGGGCACATTTGTCTTTCTAAAAAGTCATTTGTTTTCCCTAAGTGCCATTTCTTCTCCATTTCTAAGTAGTCATTTGTTTTCCCAGAAGTGCCCCTCTGCCCCTCCCCTTCCCCTAATAGGGTAGCATATAAGCCCTGAATTCTAACCACCTCCTTGAGACTCCTTGAGTCTTTGTGAATTCCAGTGTGTACATATACAATTATAATCTGTTTTTTTTCTCGTCCTCATCTATCTTTTGCCAGTTTAGTTTGCACATCCCCAATCACCGCACCTAAGAGGGTAGAGGAAAAGTTTTTCCTCCCAGACAGTCCCTCTTGTGCCAAGTGCCTCCTGAGGATTGTGGCAGGTTGCCTGTAGGGTTAGGGTGGGGGTCCCATGGGTGTATCTGTGGACACAGTGGCTACATGGGGGCTCCCTGAATTCTTTCAGAGTAGGATGTGCTGATCTTGCCAGGCAACCAGTGCTCAACAGAAGCAGAGAGAGAGGGACTGTTGGCCACAGTGGCAGCCCCCACAGCTCAACCTCCTGGTACATTCCTTCCCTCCTCACATATTCAAGTCCTGGTACCACATAGCACTCACAATGCCACGGCGGGGGAAGGAAGCCTCAATAATGACTGAGACTGAATTTCCTACCAGCTAGGCAGGTGGGGATCAGAAGCAGAATAAATTTAATTCAGAAATATAAAAAATCCTATTCTTGCCTCTTTGCGTCAAGAGAAACATTCATTCCTTTTTCATTTTTCTTTTTGTTCATTGTTTAAGAAGTCACAAGAACTACAAACCTAAAAAAAAAAAAGTCTACTGGAGAAAAGCCTAACATTGAGAAAATTCTAGAAAATTCTATCCATTAACTTAATCCCATCCCCTAACCCTGGGGTTATGAAAATGTCACCATTTAAGAAAATTTTTAGCAGCTGAACACCTCAGTTAGTTCAGTGCTGTAGGAATGCAGTTAGAAAAACCATATTATCTCATGGGGTAAGGCTGCGCACAGGATGCTGACATTTAAAACCCAGTGTCCAGCATGACACAATGATGTTATTTATAGACCGAGAAGGATCTAGGACAAATGTGATGCATAGAAAGAAATAAAAAGAAGGAAGGAGCAAGCCATAGAAACCCGAGGTTGAATCGAGGAGGAAAACCCCCAGCAAAAAATCTGAGACACATCAAGCTTTTGTAGGGTTCATGTTTAGCAGGAAGTTGAAATGACTCACCGTATCCTGTTGTACTCGCCCTGTGATTCCATTTATCCCCTCCAAGGCTTTTAAAGCTCTGATTTGTGTAGGAAAATCACACAGCATGTCAAAGAATGACTACGCTCTGGTTTTACACATCCGTATTTTTAAACAGCACAAAATGGTTGTACTTCTCAATATCGAAATCTGACTGGGGCCTCTCCTGCTTGACCTTGCCCTGGAGGCTGCTGTCCTTCCATGGGTGGGTGCCCAGGCTGAGCTTGCACGGGCTCCTTCATGTCCCCCTTGGTCAACCTAGGTGAAGAGGGGAAGAATCCAGCTCCCACCATGCACCTTATTGACAGAAGCCTTCCTCAGATGAATATTCATGAGCAGCCTAAGTTTCTTTGGCTTTTCTGTTTACTAGTTTTATTAGCTCTTGAGAGGGGAGAGAGAGAGAGAGAGAGAGAGAGACTGGGGGAGACAGAGAAAGAAGCTGGGTGCGGTGGCTCATGCCTATAATCTCAGCACTTTGGGAGGCTGAGGCAGGAGGACTGCTTGAGCCCAGGAGTTCAAGACCAGCTGAGCAACATAGCAAGATCCCATCTCCATAAAAAAAGAAAAATAAAAATTGAAGAGAGAGAGAGAGAGAGAGAACTTTCCATAATTAATAGAGATAAGGTCAGCAAGATAACTCTTTTTTGCTCTTTTCCTAATTGCCCCTTCCTGGGGTGATTCCTTTCCTAAATGGGCCTCCTCTTAATCCTCAAGCTATTATGATATAAAAATTAAAGTGTGATATCCTGGCTCGCCCATTTCCTATTAATGGAATGACCTGTGGTAATCAATAGAGGAAATGCAGGAATGTTAACAGATGTGTGGTTCTGTTTGAGAGTCTCCAATTAAGTGATATGTCTTCAAGGTGGAAAGATGAGATCATTTTGAAATTAGTTTCTTTTTGGCTTTTTAAGTCTTTGGTTATTATCAATTGCATTAAAAAAACCAATTGGAAAGGAAAATCGATCGGTGCTGAATTCCTCCCCCACCTGAAGTCTTCATGCTTCCTCAGGTGATAGGATGCTAGAGAGGAAAATTTGGAATTAGCTTTTAAAAGGAAGAGAAATGACGGTGTAACCATCTGCCAAATACATGGAAACAACAACAACAAAAACCTCATCATTCACCTGGCCTGGCAAATAGGTTTGTGCATTTTTTTTCTTTTCTGTCCACCCTGTTGTTTGTCAGAGGTTGACCAAGAACTTGTCCAAGGGCCATTCCTGTGGTGTCATTGGTTAGAGACTTTTTAACAATTTCAAGTTCTGGTGAAATACTGTGAGTAAATAAAGAGAGAATTTTGCCTGAGTTTAAGGGGCTTTCCTGGGAGGTAATGTATTTTGTGGCCTAACACTTCATTACTTAGCCTGCAGATCTGGTTTCTTTTGAAAACAAACCCTAAGTCTGGAACTTTCCATGCTGAGAGTCCACGTCAGTTTCAAGAAGGCCTGGTAAGATGTAGCTGAGTAAAAACGAGACTCAATATGAATGATTACTGCTGTTCTTTCTCACTGGGAAGCCTGGGGACGTCAAGGATAAAATGACCTTTTGTACAGTGGTGATATTTCTCCATGTCTCAGCCTTTTTATCAGCATAACTATGGCCAAACCCAGTGCTTTTGTGGAAAACATTGGTAGCACCGTCATCTCAGAAGTCTTTATGTAACTTCCCATAGTCATGTCAGAGGAGATGGGGATACAAATCATCAAACGCTTCTCTTTGGATTGTGCAAGTCAGCAAATCAGCTCTGGCGATTTCCAAAGAGCTAAGACTACCATCCCTGGGTATGGTCCCTGAGTCTTCTTTCCCCATCCTCTACAGCCCCCACTCAAAGAAAGTGCCTCAAACAGATGGAATGACGCAGAGGTAGAATTGCAAACTTCAGAAATGCATGCTTAAGAGGGCAGGTGAGCCGGGTGTGGAGGCTTACATCTGTCTTCCCAGCACTTTGGGAGGCAGAGGAGAGTGGATTGCTTAAGCCCAGAAGTTCCAGACCAGCCTGGGCAACATGGCAAAACTCCATCTTAATGAAACATGCAAAAATTAGCTGGGTGTGGTGGTGCACGCCTATAGACCCAGCTACTCAGGGAGGATCACCTGTACCTTGGAGGTCAAGGCTGCAGTGAGCCATGATGGCACCACTGCACTCCAGCCTGGGCAGCTGAGCGAGACCCAATTTCAAGAAAAAAAAAAAAGGCATGTGATTATTTTCTTCCAACATCCATCTGTCCCCCAAGTGTTGTAGGTCCTTCTGCACAAAAGTTCCATACCCTCCCTTCTCCTTTGGTTTTCTAATTTAAGTGTGATGAGTAGCAGCCAGCCAAGTGAAAGAAAGGCCTAGGGATTTCAAAGGAAAGATACAAGGCTGGCGGCAAAAAGGAAGGGCTTTCTCCTCACTGGGCCCTCTTCAGTGGCTTGAACTGTGAGACTCCTGGAGGTATCAGCGCTTGGTTCAACCCTAAAAGAAGTTGCATCAGACATGGCAACTTTGGCCTGCTTTGCTTGTATTCTCTGTGGCGAATGGAGTATTAATAAGTGGCTCTCTGGGGAAGTTTGCGCAGCTCATACTAGAAAACAAATAGATACGTAAAGTTCTTGAATGATGTAGATGTGATGCCATATCTGCTCTCCTTCCCATAATTTCAGAGAAAAATCAAGGACGATGTGTGGTGAACATAATTCCTCATTTTTCCTTTATCCATGAAATATTTGCTTTAAAGCAGCAGCTAAAACCACAGGTTTTAGTGAGCAGATTATTACCTTTCTGAGAGACACAGAGATTAAGAGAATGGTCAGTTGCTTGCCACTGAGTAGGGAAAAGGGAGAAAAATTATGATTCAAGGCATTTTCTCTGCTTCCAGTTAGCTGCTGGGGGGGACTGGATTATGCTTCTCCAATATCTGAAGGGTTGTTGAGCTGAAGGCAGTAAGAAGCAAATGCAGGAAAGCTCTCATCTTCCCCTCTGGTTACCTAAAAGCAGGACATAGATTTACAAAGACAAAAGGTACCCTGGCCACCCCTCCTCCCGGAGAGAACAAAGGTTAACCACTGAAGGCAACTTTGTACTCTTATTGGCCTGGAGATGGAACCAGAGGAATCTACATTAACAAGCTTTACAAATGAGCCTTTGACTGATAGTTATTTGCCCCCCTCCAAGTTACCACCCATAAAGATTCAAAATCCTTTGCTTTTGTCTTGCCACTTTTTTACAAATTTCATAGCCAGCACGATGGCTCATGTGTGTAATCCCAACAGTTTGGGAGGCTGAGGTGAGAGTATGGCTTCAAATCAGGAGTTTGAGACTATCCTGGGCAACATAGCAAGACCCTGTCTCAAAAAAAAAAAAAAATTAGGCAGGCATCGTGGTTCACACCTGTAGTCCCAATTACTCAGGAGGCTGAGGTGGAGGGATTGCCTGAGCCCAGGGTTCAAGACTGGCCTGTGCAATATAGCAAGACCCCATCCCTAAAAAATAAAAAACACCTATCAGGGTGGGTGCATGCCAGTAGCCTCAGCTACTCAGGAGGCTGAAGAGAGAGGATCACTTGAGTCCAGCAGGTTGGGACAGCAGTGAGCTATGATTGTGTCTCTGTACTTCAGCCTGAGTGACAGAGCAAGACCCTGTCTCAAAAAAGAAAAAAAAAAGTTTACTATTTGTTGTTGAAAATGCTATATAAGCTGGAATTCAAAGCCACCTCTTTGAGAATTACTCATTTTCTGGGTATATATGAAATATACATGGTAATATGTGACATATACATGGTAATAAACTTCTGTTTGTTTTTCTCTTGTTTTCTCTTGTCTTTTGTAACAGGGGTCCTTTCCAACCAAGAACCTATGGGGTCTAGTCTTCCCCTACACTGCCTTTCACTCACCACTGGGCTGCCTGCTTTAAGCTAGGAATCAAGAGACAGTGGCCTTCCACAGGTGCCTCGACAGGTGCCTCAGCTTCCAAACAGACACAGGAAGGACCCCAGCATGGTAGCATTCATCTCATTCACCTTTATTGGGTTAAAAGTGTGTGAGACACAAAACTGAAACTTGAAAGTTAAGAAACTTGAAAGTTAAGTAACAGCTTTTCTCTGTCTTCGTATTTTTCTCCCAAATACATGCAATCTCTAGAGAACTTCAAGAAAACTTCCTCTCTAAGCAGCAGAGAATAGCTTGCAGAAGAGGGAAAAATTCAAGATCTATTGTATTTTATTGATTTATACCTGGTTTTGTTCCAAAATTGTTGTTAGCTGCATGCATAATTAACTCTACCACTGACTGCCGTGTAACTTACTCCAAGTTCTCTTTATTGTAGTTTCATGCACGGCCTTGGCATATCCAAAGATTAATGAAGATGGATCCAAATCCTTACTACTAAGCAAAAAGCCTCCAAGCAAATAACAATGGACTGAAGAGTTACCTTTGTAGGCATAAACGTATCATTACAATTAAAGAGATGTCAAATGAGCCAGTTGTGTGCTAGATAATGCTGAGGCTCAGGACACACTACCACAAAACATGGTACCTTTCCATTTGAGAAAACAGCAGAAGCAGGAAAGTCACTCTCACCTTCCCCACTGCCCTTCTCCCCTGAAGCAGGTCCTAAAACCTGTGACGGATTCTCTGACCTTCACCTAAGCAGGTCATAAGACCCTCGTTATTTGAGAGGTGCCCTCCTTGTACCTGGAGGAAGGGAATGTCCCTATCTCTGAAGACGGGCACAGGAAGAATCTGAACAAACAGGCCTTCCTAACTTCCCCACAGTTATTACCATGAGGTCAGACCCCCTTTGTTCAATCACACTTCTCCATAACTGTCCATTTCTTCCTCAAACCTAGCATCATAAATACCAGGTTTCCTTGCTTCTTTGGATCTTCCTTTCCTTATGAAGGCTCCCATGTCATGTAAAACCTATACATACATTTGTTTGCTTTTCTTTTGTTCATCTGTCTTTTGGTACAGGGGCCTCAGTCATGAACCCAGTGAAGGGTGACAAAAGAAATATTTTTTCCCCTAGAATGCAATAGCCCACTAGTGCTCTCAAAGATGCTGGACTTCTCTGTGATGTTATTTATCCAGGAACATTGGAGAACTAAAGGTGATAAGAAGAAAAGAGGCATGGAAAGCCAATAACACAGCCAGTACCTTTGGCCAATTGAAGCTGGCCAACTTCAAGCTATCACTGGGCCTTAATAATTGTACAAAGGGATGGGCAGTTCTGGGGCTGCACCCACATATCTGTGAGCTCTGCTCGGCGGTGTTTTGAGGATAACCCTTATCCCAGATTTTTCAAAGTATTGTGGTCTTGATGGCCAGTTTCTTACGTACTCCAGATGACTACTGCCATGCATGATTGCAAAGGCTGTGCAAATATCAAGGACGGTTAAGGTGCTGGCGCTTTTTGTGACTCAACCTCCTTTTTCTTCAAATCTTTATTTTATTTTCCTTTCATAATGTAACCAATCTTTCTCACAAAAAATTGCTTTGGGTTGCAGTGGAGAAGAATTTTAGGATTTTCCCGACCTGTCTTATATTGCTCTTTAACAACTTGTGCCTAAACTATGGATTTTTTTTTTTTTTTTTGTCTTTTAAAGGTATGGAGTGAAGAATCAGTAGTTGGTCAAGGGGAAGTGTCACTGGAAAACCAAGATCCCCAAAGGCTTAGTTTTTTCTTTTTTTCCTGCTAACATCTCTAAAAAGAATTTTCCTGCAGAGCAACAGTAACATAAATTGACAGACAGCTGATGTGTGTTCTTAGCAGTTTCATTCATTGGACAGCCTTGGTGATTATTATATTTCTCTCTCTACGACACTTGACTCATTTACCAGCCTCATTCCTGGTGACGCGTGTGCTGAAACACGCAGCCAAGTGTTAGTACCAGGTGGGGTGATAGGCCAGCTCCCTGCCAGTTGCATTTATTTAGAGTGAAGAGGACAACATTGAAGTGGCATGAACAAGGCCCAGGGAAGGCTCCCAGGAAGGAGCCAGTCGACAGATGGCAAAAGAGACTCAGGGTATCTTTTTGCACAGGGGTCTCCAAATAGCCAGAGGATCTGTGCTCAGGGCATTATAAACACATCACCTTATGTTACCTTCATCTGTGTCTACCCAGCGGTAACTCTGATTTTTTTTTAAATTGTGTTTGCAGGTTAGCTGCTTCATTTGGAAAAAACTAGGAAGAGCACCGTCACCTCAGCTTCAGCTCTCCTCTTGTTTTTTCTTGGTTCTCTCTGTTCTTGCCCACCAGCCCCATGTGTCAGGTTTGAATCTAGGCTGGTGAATACATTTTGCAGGAGATGATATGTAACTAGGGTACCGCTTCTCTTTCATCATTATTCACTTTTTATTTCATCATTCTTCACTTTTTCCTTGGTCTGCTTTCATCTAACTAGGGGTGCCTCGGCTGACAAGGTGGACTTCTCAAGTGAGAGGTTGTATTTTCTCTCTTCTTTTATTAGACATGTGGAAGTTTGGGCTCATAGGACTAATTAGACTATTGAGGAAGTGATGGGTAAAAGTCTCACACACCTTTCTTTCTTCCTTGATAGTGTAGGGGAAGAAAAATCATTTTTTTCTCCAATCTTCATAACTTCTTAGTTGGAATGGACCCCTGTTACAAAAGACAGATTAACAATTGAAAAACAGTTTATTAACGTGTATTTCACATACCCAGAAAATGAGCCTCTCAAATAGGTGGCTTTGGATTCCAGCTTGTATAGCAAGTTTAACAATGAACAGTAAAATTTTAAAAACAAGACAAAGGAAAAGAACTTTGAGTCTCTAGAGGCTGGTGGCAACTTGGAGGAGGGCAAATAACTGTCAGATAAAGGCTCACTAGTAAAGCTTGTTAATGTAGATTCCTCTCCAGGCCAATAAGGGCCCAAAGTTGTCTTCTCCCTGGTAGGCAGTATATCTTTTGCATTTTGGTAAATACAGAGAGAGCAGAGAAATTTCCTGTATCAGCTTTTAAATTGCCTTCAGCACAACAATGCTTCATAGTCTGGGGTGGCATATTTTGATCTCCCACAATATGTATCTTGAGGTTATTTCTGGAGACAGAGGAGGCAGGCCTGTTGTGTTTTAAAGAGTGATATTTATACATGTGTAACAAAGAACATATTTTGCTGACTATTTTTCACTCTATGAACAGGTGGTCTTGCTGTGGGGCACTTCCTTGAATCTTAAATCGTTGATTACACATGAAAATGTCTGCATTGCAGACAGAGAGACAGCACTTATGAAGATGGGGTGGCATTGAGAGGACTGGGATGTTCTGGGATACAAGAGTGATCAGAGTACCTGGAGCTTGGGAGAGGAGAGGGGAGAGGAGAGGAGAGAGAAGGCTCAGAAGTGCTTTTGAGCCAGATCAGGAAGGGCTCAAAGCCTTGCAAAGCAGTTTGGGCTTTTTCTTGAAGGTGAAAGGAAAACCTCTGAAAGATTTTATGCAAGGACTGGCCAGACCATTTTCACATTTACAAAATATAATGATGGCAGAATGGAGCAGCAGTATGGAGAACAGCTGAGGGGCACAGGTGATGGACAAGATGTTTGATAAAGAGGTGATTGAAGTAACCCATCGGAAAAATAATGATGGCCTGAACCAAGTACGTTAGGAGATGAACTTGAAAGTTATTAAGAAAGTAGAATGGGTGCCCCTGATTTCTATCTTGCCTTTCTGATAGCCACTAGAATGGCATTTGGTGGCTCCTTTCTCTTTGTGGATAGACATGTGTTATTGGGGGGAATAAAGGGCCCAGTCAAAAACCTAAGTCTTCCAGACACCGTTGCAAGGGGGCTAATGAGATATGGCCTAAATGACAGGCTGGGCTTCCGGAAAACTTTTAATGGGGGCTTACTCAGCTGGAGGTGCCTTAATTGCATCTTCCCTCTTTCTCTTTCTTTCTGCCTGGAACTTGGGAATAGCCATCTTGAATGTAGGGAGTGAGTTGAAGGATTTGAGGAGGGACTCGTTTATGGCTTGGCTGAAAGGGTAGATGATAGTTGCAAGACACGGAACGTAAGGGAGATTTAGGGGCCAGGATGGTGCATTTTGTTTTGTACATGTTAAGTCTGAGGAATCTCTACGATGGCCAGTCTGTGTCCAGGAAACAACGGGATGTGGACCTGGGCGAGAGAAATACACCTGGAAACCATCACTTGCCAGAGAACAGTTGACACGATGGAAGTGTATGAGGTCCCTGGGGAGGGTGTCTGAGAAAAGGGCCAAGGGCAGAGCCTGGGGAGCCCAGCACTGGGGCATGATGCAGCCCTGAGCAGGACAGGGGAGAAGCATCCAAGGAGCTGGGGAGACGCCCTGGAGAGGGCAGTGTCCTGGACATCAAGGACATTCAGAGGACACAGTGGTCTCTAATGCCACAGTAAGAAAGGACTTAGGGGACAGTGGGGTCAGGAAGGAAAATGGCCAGAGGACTGCTGCTTTCTACAAAAAAGACTCTCAGAACCATCTACACACAGAAGGTGGCCACAGGCGCAATTTGTGTCATGATGCCACCACACTTGTGATTCTCTGGAGTCTTGTAATACCCTGTTATTGGTTCCTTTTTTAATACAATTCTCTCTCCCATCAACTTATCTATCTCTCCAACTGTGTCAATGATATATTTCACTTAAGATCAAAATGAATGCACATGCATTAAATGTTCATTTTAAGTTCTTTCTTTTTCTTTTTTGAGACGAAGCTTTGCTCTTGTTGCCCAGGCTGGAGTGCAGTGGCGTGATCTCGAATCACTGCAATCTCCACCTCCCGGGTTCAAGCGATTCTCCTGCCTCAGCCTCCTGAGTAGCTGGGATTACAGGCATGCGCCACCATGCCCGGCTAATTTTGTATTTTTAGTAGAGATGGGGTTTCTCCATGTTGATCAGGCTAGTCTCAAACTACTGACCTCAGGTGGTCTGCCCACCTCAGCCTCCCAAAGTGCTGGGTTTACAGGCGTGAGCCCCCTTGCCCAGCCAAGTTATTTCTTGATAAAGAGTTTTGGGGGATCCCTTGTAGCACACCGATGTGAAACCCATCGAGACTGGATTCTGTGTTCTGTTCATTAAATACGTCACTGTGAAGGACTCTGATAGAAGAGAAAAAAGGCTTTTAAAGAAGGTTAAAAAAAAAAGACAAGGCAGTGGGCAAGAATGCTTTGGTTTTCCTTGTGTGCTGTGGCAGTGGTACCAACAGAATTTCCTTCCCCCATGGTGGGACCTATGAGCTCAGGGCCTCTGCCCTTTGCCACATGCTGAACTGAGGTATCATGAGCTGGATCTGTCTTCTGTCTCTAAAGTCAAAGTAGGATGATGCTTTCTTAACTTCTAATTTATTTTCTTAAACTGAGAAGTGAGGAGTATGTCTTCTGGGGAATGTCCTCAGATTGCATCAGCCAGGAGCCGTGAGGACCAGCTCTCTCCCTGGTCCAGGTCTCTCAAGGATGCTCAGAGAACCTGTTCTGGCTCTGGGCAGCTTCCTGCTTAGAGTGATGAAAATAATTGTTTTCTCATCTAAATGACTGTTGAGCGATGAACTCATTGCTTTTAGGTCTCTAATAGGGCACTCCCCGGGGAACAGGTGATAGTCCTCATCTGAAACAATTTAATTGGGAAGAGATTTCACTTGGTATCTCCAAGAAGGACCCCAGGCCCTGCTTCCATAAGCAGTGCCTTGCCACATAGGAGCTGTGGCTGCTTCTTGACCCATTAGCTAGGTCAAGAGTGTTAAGAACACTCTGAACATTTACTGGGAACTCACTGGATGTAAAGTTTCTCTTTAAGATGTCACATGGTGACAGATTCAAGATATGATGCCTGCTCTCGAGTGGCTTAAACTCTCCATTTGGGTGAAGGTTAGAGAGGAAGAGGGAAAAACACTCTTGTTTGAATGCATCAATTTTAGGCTAAATATCTAGAAGCATATGCATTATAAACACATGATCCATCACAGGTATAAACATGAAACTCCACTTATCTGGTGTTCACTTATTCAATCAGCTCAGCTATCCAGAAAAAAGCTGAGATCTCAGAGCAGACACAGTTTATTAAAAAAAAAAAAAATTAGGATTCTACAGTTCAAAAACTTTGCTTGCATTGTTCTGAATTCATTTCCTCTTATTTTGGATATATTCTAGAAAGCTTTTCCAGAACATACCAGATTAACGTTGTGGAGGTGAGCTGGCCCAGGCAATGGCAATAGACTGCCTAGAAGGAGCTGGCCCAGGCAATGGCAATAGACTGCCTACAAGGAGAAGTAATTTCTGAGGACCTCACATTAAAGCAATGGTTCCCACACTTTTCAGACATGCTTTAGCATCCTCCGGATATCTTTCATTAATTTTTAAACTCAGGCCACTCACAAAATGGATTAAATAATAATCCCTGGACATGGGAGTGGGGGGAGGTGGGGAGGTGGGGTGAGCTGGGGGTTGGGTGGGTAATGGAGGACACACAGGCATCGGTAGTTTTGGAAGCTACTCAGGTGATCCAATGCACAGACAAGATAGGGAGTTATTGCATTGGACGTTAAGGATGAACAAGCAGATGTTTCACTGTGTAGTATTCTGTGGCCATTTTGTAGTATTCTACAGCCATTGCCATTTTGTGTCAGGGCAAGTACTCTTCACCTTTCTTTTTTTCTTTTTTTCTTTTTTTTTTTTTTTTTGAGATGGAGTCCTGCTCTGTCACCCAGGCTGGAGTGCAGGAGTGATCTTGGCTTACTGCAACCTCTGCCTCCCAGATTCAATTGATTCTCCTGCCTCAGCCTCCTGGGTAGCTGGGATTACAGGCATGCATCATCACGCCCGGTTAATTTTTGTATTTTTAGTAGAGATGGGGTTTCACCATGTTGGCCAGGCTGGTCTTGAACTCCTGACCTCAGGTGATCTGCCTGTCTCGGCCTCCCAAAGTGCTGGGATTACAGGCCTGAGCCACTGCACCTGGCCACCTTTCACCCTTCCAAAAAGCAGCCTGTACCTTCCTTAGGTGCATGAAGGTGAAACAATGCCCCGAACAGGCAGGAGGGATGTGCTTTCCTCCCCAGTCACTGGGAGTCCTGGGAGGTATCACTGCATTACAAATATAACCCACACCAAAGGCCCCTTTTCTGTCGCACAGAATCTGTCTCCAAGGATTCTCTGGAAATGGAAAGTGGGAACTTGTGGGCCTTTGAGATGGAGCATAGTATAGTTGTCTTCCTTTGGGTTATAGCCTTCAGAGAGGTGCTCCTTTTCACCTTGTACAGCGTGGGCTACAAGAGGCTCTTGCCACCTTTTGCATGTGACCAGGGAGGGAAATGGACACCCCTCACTAGTCAGAGGATATTACACATCAATGCCCCCCCACATCAGTGGACGTTTCTTTTCACAACTTCTTTCATTTCTTCCTGTTTCAGTGTCTAGAACTTCCTGTTGCCACACTCTGCTCCCTTGAACTCCTTTCTATAGAAATAAGGGTGTTCTTGTCCCTTCATCCATTCTTCAGCCCTAAAAATTTCACAGCCTCAGTCATTTGCTAAGGATCTACCACTTTTTAGCTCTTTCAAGCTGCTGTGGTCACAGCAGAGGATGATGTAAGCTCCTCTGCTCCCCTGCATGGGGCGGGAGGGGCCGGAGAAGTGAGGGAAGAGTGGGGGCCCAGGATTTCTCCCTTGATTATAGAGATGTGGTGGAGGATGGGGAGGCAGACGGAAAGAAAAATGTCCCAGCTCACCCTGGCACAGAGACATTGTTCCACAAAGAATGCTCACTAAAAAAATGTTTATACTATCATATTAACTTGTAAAAGAGCAAGCTATAACATTTTATGTTCAATGTAATACATTTTTATTAAGGCATAACTCCCTAAAAATGGCTGGGTAAAAGCCTGGAAAGAGATACACAAATGTTAGCGGTGGTTGCTTTTTGGACGGTGTGACCATGGCGATTAGAAATATTTTTTCCCAACTTTTCACAAGAAACATATGGCTTTTCTCATTTTTTTAAAAAAACGGGGTGGGGGAAAGAGCAATTATTTTAAGCCAGAATGTCCAAAATGATGCCGTCGAGTCCAACACAATATTTTAGACTTTGTTAATTCCTTTCTGTACAGGATAGAAGACAAAGGAGGGGCTAATCTACTTTAGCCAGATCTATCAAGCAAAGCAGTGGGAGTTGTTCACATATAAGTTCTGTACCCCCTAAAGGAGGCCCAAGTTAGTTTCTTGGCCCATGTAATGAATGCTTTCTCTCTATTGACTTTCATTTTTTAATATTCTCTGTCATGTGACATAACAAGTCAATGCTCCATAAATATTGGTCAGTTGAATGAATTAAAGAAAATATTGATGCTTACAGGCAGATAGTTTTCTAGAAAAATCTGCTTATTTTTCTGAATAATTATGAAAAACGACATGATTTCTATTTTAAAAAAAAGAGATAATGTATCTATTGTCGACGGACGGTGGATGTGAGCCATGTGTTGTGTTCATACTCGGAGAATGAAGGAAAACATCAGAGACTGGGTAAGACATAAGCATGATTTTGAAGAAATCAATTGAAATTTTATGGAAAGGAACGAGGATGTTCCAGGCATGTGGATTAGCTTATGCCAAGATCTGATGGCTAAAGAAAGGTGAGCATAGAGGGTGGCCAGGTTGTTGACGGGAGCAGATGGCGTGGGCTAGAAGGATCCTGGCAGGGGTCACTGATAGATAGAGGAGGAGAGAAACCCGTAGACAAACAGATTAGATTTCCCTCTGATGCTGGTAAATGCGGAGCTTTTTGTAAGTTTTGGGGGAAAGTGTGTTCCCAAACACATATCCTGCTCTCTTGCTCCTCTTTCTATGGCAAAGGAGGAGAAATTTCTTCCAGAGACATAAGCAGGAGGAAGCTGGAGCTCTCTCCTGAGTGATTGTCAGTTGCAGAGGAGGTGAATATCACAGGACAAGCAAGCGTGGGGGAGAAGACTGCCTAGACATTCTAAAGGTGCAGTATGGCATTGAGGAGCGGGGAGAATTTTATCCCATCCATGGTTAGCTGAAGGGTTCTTCCTCTTCCTCAGCTCCCACACCCTCTCACCCCCACCGCTGAAATTTCCTGCCTTGTGCTCATCTTTGTTCCAGATACTCATTGCCTGTTTGGCTCTCCTGCACCATTCCGTTTCTCTGCAATGGTTCATTGCTTTCTCAGCAGACTGTGTTTACAGTATACCCAAGACTGCCCCTACAGTCCTATCCCGATAACCACCAAGCCGATTGCACCCTGACTTATCTCCGGAGCTCACACTCTTACTTCCAGGCACCTGCTGGACACATCCTACTAGGTATCTCTTAGGCACCTCTATCACAACATGCCCCAAACTGAATTCATTTTCTTCTCCCTCCAAGTCTGCCTGCCGTTTTCTTTGCAGTCTCAGTTTTAACCCCACTGTCAGACAGAACACCGTTTGCCCTTGCCTACCTCTCACTCACCCCCCATGTCTAGTCAATCACTGTTCCTGGACCATTCATTCTACCTGCAAAATGTCTGTTGATGCCGGGCACAGTGGCTCACACCTGTAGTCTCAGCACTTTGGGAGGCCAAGGCGGGTGGATCACCTGAGGTCAGGAGTTCGAGACCAGCCAGACCAACATGGTGAAACCCCTTCTCTACTAAAAATACAAAATGAGCCGGACGTGGTGGTACAGGCCTGTAATTCCAGCTATTCTGGAGGCTGAGGCAGGAGAATCTCTTAAGCCTGGGAGGCGAAGGTTGCAGCAAGCCGAGATCGAGCCAGTGCACTCCAGCCTGGGCCGCAAGAACGAAACTCCGTGTCAAAAAAAAAAAAAAAGTCTGTTGCATCTCTTAGCTTTTCTTTTCCCTGGTGCTAATTTTGTGTCGTCTCCTGGGTCACTGCTTTCTCCTGGGACAGCATGCTAACTCTTGCCTTCAATTCCTCTCTGTTTCTGTTTTTCCAATCTATCCTCCTCATTTCCTGCCAGGATGATCTTTCTGAAGCCAATCGGATCATGTCAATTTTGCTGAAAAAGCACTCAAGCACCCCAAGTCGTGGCCTAAGGATCAAGCTTCTCATCTGGCTCAGAATATCTTCCCAGCCTCATCTCACATTACCTGTGCTCCTTCCTCCCTTTTGCACAGTTCTCCATCCACACAGAAATATTTCCCATGCCCCAAACAACAGCCTGGCTCCCTTTCCTACTTTTGCACCTGATTTTTCCCTCAATCTGGTTTTCCTCTCATGCCCTGCCTGCGAACCCTGTCTGCAAAATAGCATTATGCACAAGGGGACCCACTGCCCTGCCCCGCTCATCCTTCCTAGCAGCACTTAAGGCCCCCTCCCTGCAAAGCCTTCTCTGCCCTTTCTCCAAGGTTCGGTTAGAGCTTAAGGACAGCTTATTTAATGTGGTTATCTCTCCTCTACAATATCAATTCTATGCAAGGAGAGATCTGAGTTTTATTCATCCAGATCCTAGCACAGAGCCTGGCATGAAGTAAATCCTTAATCTCTGTTTATTGAATGAATGAATAAATACATTCTTTTTTTTTTTTTTTAAATAAAAGTATTGGCCGGGCTTGGTGGCTCATGCCTGTAATTCCAGCACTTTGGGAGGCCAAGGCTGGTTGCTTGAGCTCAGGAATTTGAGACCTGCCTGGGCAACATAGCAAGACCCCATCTCTAAAAAAAAGAAACCATAACAACTAGCCAGACATGGTGGCGCACACCTGTAGTTTCAGCTACTCGGAAGGCTGAGGTGGGAGGATCACTTGAGCCCAGGAGGTCAAGGCTGCAGTGAGCCATGATTGTACCACTGTGCTGGAGCCTGGGCTACAAAGTGAGACCCCATCTAGAAAAATAAATGAGTAAATAAATAAATATATTCCTATTGTTTAATTCAATAATTCCACTTCTGAGAATGCTTCCTAGAAAATCATCCAACATATTAGAACAAAATAAAGATGTTCCTTGTAGAATTATTTAAATGATAACTCTTAAAATATATTTGCCCAACAGTTGTGGAATGGTTAAATCAATTATGATACTTCTATTTCCTAGAGTTTTGTACAGATACGGTGGAAGCTTATGAATAAATAAATGCTTTATTCTTCTTAGATTAACATTTTTTTTCCTTCCAGAAAGGTCCCATTTTCTTTATAACTTTATCCTTCAAAGGTAGACCTCAGTGGAGCATTCTTTTTTTTTGTTTTGAAATAGAGTTTTGCTCTTGTTGCCCAGGCTGGAGTGCAATGGCACAATCTCGGCTCACTGCAACCTCCGCCTCTTGGGTTCAAGTGATTCTCCTGACTCAGTCTCCCAAGTAGCTGGGATTACAGGTGCCCACCACCACACCTGGCTAATTTTTTGTGTTTTAGTAGAGATGGGGTTTCACCACATTGGCCAGGCTGGTCTCAAACTCCTGACCTCAAGTGATCTGCACACTTCAGCCTCCCAAAGTGCTGTGATTACAGCCACCGCGCCCAGCCCAGTAGAACCTTCTTATCTCCCTCTCCTTACATTTGCTTAGAGGGATGAGAGCCTCCTTGCTTGGGGAGGGGAAAGCTATTGGGGAGGGACATTACTGGCCTTTTGTCTCCACCTCCCCAGTGGCTGCTCTGGTTGGGTGGACTGAGGGTTCCCTCCTGCAAGTTCCTGCTGAGTGTGGCTGTCCTCAGGAAACCAAGTCCCCTCTGCGGCCCTACGGTAAGTGGCCCTGGCTTCAGAGGAGCTTGCATTTGACTAGGCCTGCTGTGACTGGTATGTGGGTTTAATCATGGTTTCCTTTTGTGGTGGGGGCAGATATTAGAAAACCCATCTGTTTCCAGCTCTAAGCTTCAGACTCCAATCGGCTTTATCAGAAATAAAGCAGATATTTTGATCTCCATCTGTCTGATTCTGAGTCTTTTAATTGGTCCCACTTGAAGCTGGGTGGGGGCTGGGAAGAGAATGGGGACAGGAGTGTTATTTGTTCTTCTAAAACCCCAATAACTATTCTCTTATTCCACAGTGAAGAGATCAGGAGTTACTCAAATCCCAGCCATCGGAAGGAATCTTAAGCCACATATGATTTCAGAGAAAGTTTCTGCTTTATAGGGCAAAGGGGTGCCTAGGACTGAGCCTTGTATGTGCTAAATGCCTTGTACTATTGAAATGAACGAATAAAGAGGTTTGTGGACAGCAAGCTATAGTTCAAACTCACATATCCTGAGAAAGACAAGTAATGGATTTTCCATTTTCATCTATCAGATGGGCAAAGACCAAAAAGTTTAGTAATCCACTGTGTTGGAGAGGGTGTGAGAAAATACACTACCTCATACATTGCTGGTAGGAGTGTATTTTGTTTAAAATAATCCATGTAGGGCAATTTGGGAGCATCTATTTAAAAATACATATGCACATGGCCTTTGACCCAGCACTTCCGTTTCTAGGAATTTATATTATGGATATACTAGCATATGCAAAATGACATTATGTACAAGGGTATTTATCATCATATCATTTATAATAGGGCAAAGTTAGGAATATTCTAATTGTCCAACAATTAGGGAACTTGTTAAATAAATGCTGCTGCATCTTAATGAATTTTTTTAGCTATACAAAAAAAACGAGGACGCTTCTTACATGCCAACGTGAAGTGATTTCCAAGATGCTGATAAATGAAAGCAATCAAAGTGGACAATATTGAGTATGTAATGCTAGCATTTAAAAAAGGAGAGAGCAAAAATGCATTTGCTTGTAATGCTTTTATCTGAAAATATATAATTGAAACTGATAACATTGTTTGCCTCTGGGAAAGAGAACCAGATGGTTGGAGGGACAAGGTTAGGTGGGAGACTTTGATAAACAGTATTTGTACCTTTTGAATTTTAAACAGCGTAAATGTTATTAAAGTTATATACTCACAACAAACAAATGTATACACTTTGATTTTTCTTTTCGTTTATGTGTTTGTTTTAGCAATGGTGGTTTTGATATATTACCCAGGCTGGAGTACGGTGGCTATACACAGGCGTGATCATCGTGCATCACAGCCTCAAACTCCTGGGCTCAAGTATCCTCCTGCTTCAGCCTCCTCAGTAGCTGGGATTACAGGTGTGTGCCACTTGCACTTAGCTTGATTTTTATTTTTATTGAAAGGAGACCTTTTTATGACGTGGGAGGAAACGTGGCATTAGTTTCCTTAGATAATAATTTCTAAGGATAATTTAGGAAGCATGGATTATTAAGAAGTAGGCAAAAAGGGTTAACACAGTGGTCAGTGTGCAGGTTCCCAAGTCACACTACTTAGATTCACATTCAGGCTCGGTACTTTCTGTGTGACTGTGGGCAAGTTTTCTCTTCAAATGAGGGATAATAATAGTTCCCAACACCTAGGACTGTGGTGAGGATAAAATGAAAGAATGGGTGTGTAACCTGCATAAAGTCAGGTCCCACGTGGTCCTGTCTTAGCTTAAAGTCACTTCCAGAGAAAAGAACAAATTCACAAGGAAGCTTAGTGGAAAGCAAGTCAAGTGTTTACTGTGGTTTCTTAAGAAAATTTCAACAGCATATGCCTAAGAAATACTAAGCTTTAGAAAATTTCTTGGCTTCAACTTGCCCACCCCTCACTTCTAACAGAGCATACTTGAAAAACCCTCCTCAGTGCACTCTTCATCCCAACAGCAGACTTCTCATGCTCACCTGCCATGCTTGCTTTGAGCTATTTTTGTTTGTTTGTTTCTGCCAGAGGTTCTTCCCATTGCAAATATAAATCTTGCCTCTCAGGCTTACAGTATTTTTTCCCCAGTCTGTGAATTAAGGCCTGTGAGCTGAGGATATGGGAAAATGCCAAGGGAATCAAGTCAGAATTTTACTAGTGGAAGTGGAGGTGAGCAGACATAAGAGAGGATGGAAAAAAGGGCTTTAAAAATATTTTTATAATAATAATTTTTTGCCGCTGTTACATATGGAAGGAACTTATAACATTGCTTAGCATTGTAAGCACTCCATAAGTCTTAGCTATTAATATTATTCATAGTAACCACTTTCCTACAACCTGATAGTAATAATAACACCTAACATTTACTAAGAGTCTATTTACTGTGTGTCAAACACAGGTCTAGCACTTTATGTGAATTAATTCTTGTTAGTTTCCCAACACCACCATGCGGTAGGCCCTTTTATAACTCCCATTTTATAGATGGGGAAACAGACACAGGGAGATTAAGTGACTTGGTTGGAGTTACAAAGGAAGAGGGAGAGTCGAGACAGGCAGCCAAGCAGCCTGACTCTAGTTTCCATCTGAGCCATCATTTATATTGCCTTGAATTCACGTTTTCCGTTCTGTTGTAATGAGTCAGGGAACCAGCCAATTCAATCTTCTTATACTGAAAGTTTTCTGAGGGTTTTCTTCTGCTAGTTTTCACAACCCTTAGTGATGAGATCCCAAATGAGATATATAAGTAAACAGTAAGGATGGTGGGTGCCTTCATGTTCCTGGGAGGATAACTGCTGTCATTGTCATTGCCTTAGCTCTTTGGATACGAAAGCTTTCTGGTTAGGAACCAGAGAGAGGCTCCTACCAATGAATTATTAATGAATGCATTTGATATTTTTCTCCATTGCCTCCCCAATTGCCTATCTAAGGAAAACAGTGCTAACCAGATAAATTAAATGCCCTTTTACAAATTGACCTACTCTGGGGGATGTAATGGAATATATATATATATATATATATTTATTTATTTTTTGGTTTTTTTTTTTGAGACGGAGTCTCACACTGTCTCCTGGGCTGGAGTGCAGTGGCGCTATCTGCAACCTCCGCCTCACGGCTTCAAGCGATTCTTCTGCCTCAGCCTCCCAAGTAGCTGGAATTACAGGCGCCCACCACCATGCCCAGCTAATTTTTTGTATTTTTAGTAGAGACGGGGTTTCACTATGTTGGCCAGACTGGTCTGAAACTCCTGACCTCGTGATCTGCCTGCCTCGGCCTCCCAAAGTGCTGGGATTACAGGTGTGAGCCCCCGCGCCCTGCCATGTACTGGAATATTTGTTTCACAGTTGCTAGTGCTACAGTGTGTTTGTGTACTTTTGTATCAGGTTGTCCTGGAGCTGAATCCATCAATTCAGGGGGAGAGAAGGAGGAGGCTGCTCAGAAGAAAGAGTCCTGGCTTAGCTTTGGGTTTCATGTTAGAATTGTTTTGTGCAAAGTGAGAGAATCTTCCAGTCCATGCTTTGCTAAGAAAGAAAAGTATTTCCCAAATTCCAATAAGTTTCCATCTGCCTGTGAAAAGTAGACCCTGGAGGTCTGAGCACTGGGTGTTATTATCTTACACCATGATGTGCAGAACAGAGAATCTGACATAAGGAAATTATCTGTACTGCTGGACATGGAAAACCCTTCTAGTTGAGAGAGGAAGGACTGAGGAGAGAAGGAGAAAGGGAATAGGTGTGTTCTTAGTTTCTTCCTCAGAGTTCCAGTCTCTTGCTGAAGGCGGGGGTGGAAGTGGGGGCGCCGGTGGGGGGACGTGTGAGATGCGGGTAACACATCTCAGATAAGTTGCAGGAAGTTGACACTGAGGGGCGGTGCTCCCACTCCACATTCAGAGAATGAAAGGAGACCCCCCCACACACACCCCCGTGATGGTGCCCGAGGCTGAGGCGGGGCTTCCCCACAGAGAAGAAAAGAGGATGTGACGTGTCAGTGAAGAGAGCCTTACGCGGTGGTTCCACGCTTATGCCACACTGTGTTTTGGTGGGAGATGTGGACGGTAGCTGAGGTGTGGGCTGGGTGAGCCCACTGAGGGACTTCACCGGGGGAAGGGCAGAGTCTTCTGCATACGCAGCTAGAAGGTGGCTGCTGGAGTTGGCATCAATAGGGAGATGAAGCCTGACCCTGGGGCACTTGTGGGACCAGGGAGAGCTCAGGTGGACCAGGCGGTCAGCGGGCGGGAAGGCTAAGGTCCCCGGAGCAATGAGTGGGTGATGCCCCACTCAAAGAAGAGACGCAGAGTCACACCGGCCTTGGTGCTTCAGCAACAACAGCAGTGAGGACAGAGGCCGATGCCCAGGTGCAGGCAGGGGACACAGCAAGGAGCAAGAGCGAGGCCTGAGGCCTTCCTGTCACTGCTGGGAGGATGCCAGTGCTTATCTCTACCCCTACAGAAAGTGGGTAGGCTGAGTCCTGGAGAGAGAGGAGATGCCCTGCAAAACTGGGCACTTACTGGGAGACATTGGGTTACCCCAGAGAGACTGTTCCGAGCCAGGACATATGGAGTTCTTCCCTCCCTGGCTCCCGACACAGTAGTTGGAATTGGAAATTCTGAGCAAGTCAGAGAAGAACGTAAAATGTGTGTGTGCGTGTGTGTGCACACATGTATGTAATGTTGATCTGGTGATGCTTCAGGAAAAGCAGGTTCTTAGCTGAATTTTGTCCCTCCCCCCCCGTCAAATTCATATGTTAAAGCCCTAACTAATCTCCAGTTCCTCAGAATGCGACTGTATTTTGTCTTTTTTTTTTTTTTTTTTTTTTTTTGAGGTGGAGTCTCAGTCAGTTGCCCAAGCTGGAGTGCATTGGCGCGATCTCAGCTCACTGCAGCCTCCGCCTCCTGGGTTCAAGCTATTTCCATGTTTCAGGCTCCTGAGTAGCTGGGATCACAGGTGCCTGCCACCGTGCCTGGCTAATTTTTGTATTTTTAGTTGAGATGGGGTTTCGCCATGTTGGTCAGGTTGGTCTCAAACTCCTGATCTCAGGTGATCCAGCCGCCTTGGCAGGGATTACAGGCATGAGCCGTATTTCATCTTTAAAGAGGTAGTTAAGTTACAATGAGGTCCTATGGGCGATCCTTAATCCACCATGACTGTGTTCATGTAAAAAGAGGAGATGAGGACGCAGACACTCACAGAGGGAAGACCATGTGAGGACACAGTGGAAGACGCCATCTGCAAGCCAAGGAGGGAGGCCCCAGGAGACACCAACTCTGCTGACACCTCGACCTTAGACTTCCAGCTTCCAGAACTGTGAGAGAATACATTTCTGTGTCCGGCCACCAGTCTGCGGTATTTTGTTATGGCAGCCCTCAGAAACAAACACAGCAAGCAGACCATACCTGAATTATTAAACATTAGGATGAAGCCAGCAGTTACAGAGGTCCAGCAGTAAGTTACTGATGTGATGTAGATTATGAGTGTAGTGTAGATGTTGGTGTAATGTAGATAAGCAGCCAAAAAAGTGCTGGGTGAGGTGGCTCACGCCTGTAATCCCAGCACTATGGGAGGCCAAGGTGGGTGGATCACCCAAAGTTGGGAGTTCAAGACAAGCCTGACCAACATGGAGAAACCCCGTCTCTACTAAAAATACAAAATTAGCGGGGCGTGGTGGCGCATGCCTGTTATCCCAGCTACTCGGGAGGCTGAGGCAGGAGAATCGCTTGAACCCAGGAGGCGAAGGTTGTGGTGAGCCGAGATTGTGCCATTGCACACCAGCCTGGGCAAGAAGAGCAAAATTCCATCTCAAAAAAAAAAAAAAAAGCCAAAAAAGCAACATGTGTGGTGGAGAGGCCTGAGTGTTGAATAGTAACCCATGTGAGGCTATAAAACAGTTGAAAATGTGCTCCTTCATTAACTTTAATTTAGAGAACTCGGAATTTCTTCCCCATTATCTTCCCAAACCCATATAGTGCCAGGAGGGCAACTGCAATATAAATCAGTCCTCCCTTTCACCGCTTTCTCTCCTACCTTTGAAGAGTAATAATTCATGCTGAGCCAAAACAGAGTGATGTTGATTTTATAAGTGGTGCTATCTGTGTCCCTATCGCGGAAGGAGGTGATGGATGGTGCCAGTGTTGGCAGGGGAGAGTGAATCAGACGATGGTGGAGGAAGACCAGTAACAGTTCCCACCCCCATCCCAGTGAGAGGAATGTTGAAAGATTTGTTGTGGCTAGGACCATTTCCTCCAGCTCCCAACAAGCCATTTAATCCCAAATATCTTTATAAGCAGTCTTGTTGTTGTCTCTTCCTACGATGCCAGTTGCACTGGTCTTTTAGCACTGTGACAGACACTACTGGACTACAAACACAATGCGATTTATGATATCCATAAATCACAGGGCTAAATGGTATGATTCAATCTCATACTTGCAGCTAAGAAGTCAAAGGGAGGTGGTAATGATTTTAAATGTCGGACTGTTTTTGTGTCAAAAATGCATGATTTTGCACAACTTGAGGCCAATGTAAAGGCACTAGTAAAACTGTGTAGACTGTCACCCCACAAGGGCCGGGGGCTCTGTGTCCCTGGGCCTGTGGAGATGGTGTCTTATGCGGCTCCCACAATGTCCCTCTCACATTAGCAATTTTCTCCACTGTTCCCCTTCCAGGTGGGGACCACGTGGAGGAAGCAAGTATTGTGTTGTACAGCGAATGTGGCCTTGGATCAGTTACAGGCAAATGCGTTATTCTTACTTTGTTCCAGGATAAGCGACATTGCAGGACACTATTCATTACAACTTTATCTGTTTTGTGATAATCTGCCTCCCCAACTTCTTCATTTTCCTTCTCCTTCCCTGTCATATCAGCAATTAAACGATACTGCAACGGTGATGCTGCCACTAATTAATTTCTCCTCACATCGATGGAGACCTTTGGCTAGTGGGGCATAATGGAAAATAAAAAGAAGATCCCAAATGCAAGCATTCCATCTGTCCCTGATACGCTGGGATTTCCTGCAGTCGTGTTTGCTTTTCACCGTCCACTGAAAGATGTGCATAATCTGACAGCCTTGTGAAAGTAAGTCTTTTCTCCTTGAGTAGATACAGTGTGTAATTTTTTATTTTTATTTTTTTGAGACGGAGTCTCACTCTGTCACCCAGGCTGGAGTGCAGTGGCGCGATCTTGGCTTACCACAACCTCCTCCTCCCGGATTCAAGTGATTTTCCTGCCTCAGCCTCCCGAGTAGCTGGGACTACAGGCGCGCACCCCTATGCCTGGCTAATTTTTGTATTTTTAGTAGAGACTGGGTTTCATGATGCTGCCCAGGCTGGTTTTGGTTTCAATCTCCTGACCTCGTGATCCATCCGCCTCGGCTTTCCAAAGTGCTGGGATTACAGGCATAAGCCACTGTGCCTGGCCCATTTTCTTTTTCTTTCTTTCTTTTTTTTTTTTAATAATGGAATCTCAATTGGGCACCTGTGGGTCAAGCTCTATGCTGTTCCCATTTCTAATCCGTGTGTCTTTTTAGCTGGGAGTTGTTGTCAGCCCATAGGCTTTAAGTGCCTGGCATGAGCACAGAGGTCTTGCATCAGGTGTGTTTTGAGGAAGGGACCAGGATCATGCCTATAACTTACCTCTTCTCCTACAGGGTTCAGGTGCAATCAGCAACATTTATCAAGCAGTTCTGAGCTAGATGGCAAAGGCATACAAAAAGAGGAGTTCAGAGCGTTTCTGCCCTTGGAGGGGAAGTAGACCCTGGTCCTGGAAATTGGTACTTGAAACAAGGTGTCCAACAACTTAGGGTTGGTGGTCTGCCACAGGCTAAGCCAGCCATGAGGATTCAGAGGAAGACTGAATAGATACTTGGTATCTATTAGTGAAGTTGGCAGCCAAGAATACAATCTATTCACTCAAGAATGAATATTCTGAGTGTTTCTTCTTCTAAGGCTGAACTATTTGGGAAGGTTTGTATTTTCTTAGGGAATAATGATCAAGTGATTTGAGCATATCTTTTGGCTAAATGGCAGCTAGATATTATCTAATCTCATGGGTAGAGCGGCACCATTTAATTACCAGTTCTGAGGGAAGTATCGCAATGGTTTGTGTCTAATGAGCACATTTCTTCCCCAGATGCAAATGTCTTTCTTTGAATGCACACTTATTAGTTAGGTCTTATTTAGCCTCTTATGGGTAGAAGAGCAAGTAGTAGTATTCCCATTTTGTAGACGAAGCTGGGTCCACACTAAGTGAGCCAGTGCCACTAAGCTTCTTAGTAGTGGTACCAAGAGCAAGCTGTCTTAGAAGGAATTTTCTGAACAAGGGAGAAGAAAAATTTGTTTTCCAAAGGCAAGAAGACATAGGACAGCATGATTAATACTGAAACATAAAGTTTGTTTTTCCTTTATTATAGAAATTAGTGTGTTTTTTTGGTAGAAAATTTAGAAAATTCAAAAATGTTTAAAGAGGAAAATAAGAACCATCCATAATTTCACAACCCAGATCCCTGTCTTATTATAAAGGACTTCACTTATACATACGAATGTGAAAGTATCATATATTCTTCTCTAAAATTGTGTTGTGTTGAATATGCAATTTTGTATTCCACTTTTTTTTTTTTTTTTTTTTTTTTTTGTGATGGAGTCTCACTCTGTAGCCCAGGCTGGAGTGCAGTGGTCTGATCTCAGCTCACTGCAACCTCCACCTCCTTGGTTCCAAGTGATTCTCCTGCCTCAGCCTCCAGAGTAGCTGGGACTACAGGTGTGTGCCACCAAGCCTGGCTAATTTTTTGTATTTTAGTAGAAATGGGGTTTCACCATGTTGTCCAGGATGGTCTCAATCTCCTGACCTCATGATCTGCCCCCCTTGGCCTTCCAAAGTGCTGGGATTACAGGCTTGAGCCACCTCACCTGGCCTCCCACCCTTCTTTCTTACTATTTTATCATTAAGTATATGAGCAGAAACGTTTAGCATTCCCCTATATCTGACTTGTCCGCCTGAGTGCATAGTAGGATTACATTTTTCTCGCCCACCTTGCAAGTAGGTGGAGCTATGAGACTAGTTCTGGCCAATGGGCTGTCAGCCAAAGCGAGGGGTGTTACTTTTGGGCTGGACATTTAACTGCCTGTGCAGGACTCTGCAGTGCTGTCTATTCTGGCTGAGACAACTGAGAGGGCTGTCAGGTGCCCATCAGAGAGTTTGGGTCACTGGGTGATTATACGGAGAGAGCCTCCTTCCATCCCTGCCTGCTTCATGTCATTTCAATGTGTAATGTAAACAAGAGACATATTTTTGTCGTGCAACACTGCTGAAATTTTGAAGTTGTTACTGCAGCATAACCTAGCCTTTCCCAGTCAATACAAGTATTTTCTTCTTCTTTGAGACAGAGTCTCGCTCTATCACCCAGGTTGGAGTGCAGTGGCGCAGTCTTGGCTCACTGCAGCCTCTGCCTCCCAGGTTCAAGTGATTCTCTTGCCTCAGTCTCCCGAATAGCTGGGATTACAGGTGCCCGCCATCACACCTGGCTAGTTTTTGTGTTTTTAGTAGAGACAGGGTTTCGCCATGTTGACCATGCTGTTCTCGAACTCCTGACCTCAGGTGATCCACCTCCATCGGCCTCCCAAAGAGCTGGGATTACAGGTGTGAGCCACCATGCCCAGCCCTACAAGTATTTTCTTATGTCAGCAATACTCATTTAAAAATCTGATTTTGAATGACCACCGTAATTTGCCTTTTTTTTTTTTTTTGAGATGGAGTCTCGCTCTTTCGCCCAGGCGGGAGTGCAGTGGCACTATCTCGGCTCACTGCAAGCTCCGCCTCCTGGGTTCATGCCATTCTCCTGCCTCAGCCTCCCGAGTAGCTGGGACTACAGGCTCCTGCCACCTCGCCCGGCTAATTTTTTGTATTTTTAGTAGAGACGGGGTTTCACTGTGTTAGCCAGGATGGTCTCGATCTCCTGACCTTGTGATCCGCCCGCCTCGGCCTCCCGAAGTGCTGGGATTACAGGCGTGAGCCACCGCACCCAGTCAACAATTTGTCTTTTATGCATATTCTTAATTTTATTTAGTCATCCCCCTATCATTGGGCATTTATTTGCATGACAGTTTTAAAATTCTTTTTTAAATAGCACAGCAGTGAATAATCTCGAGTGCCTATCTGATGTGTTCTCATGAGAAATTTTTACAAATGGAGTTGTTAAGTCAGAAAATATGAATGTCTTCAAGGCTCTGGAAATGAACTGACAAACTTCTCTTCGGAGACTTCATTCTAGTTTGCACTTCCTGTGGCAGCACATGCTAGTGCATTTCAATGCATTCTTGTCAAAACCAGGTCTTCAATGTTTAATTTTTTTTTTTTTGCTGTTTTAAAGAAAAAATAATTGCCATTTATTTGAATAGTAATGAGGCTGGGCTTTCTTTCAATGCCCTTTGCCCTATTTGTACGTCTTGTGACCGGTATGGATTATGCCCTACCCACTGGGGCTGTTTTGCTTTTTCTTATTGATTCGTAAGTACTCTAACATCTTAAC
Organism: Homo sapiens; assembly: GCF_000001405.40. Lineage (NCBI taxonomy): Eukaryota > Metazoa > Chordata > Mammalia > Primates > Hominidae > Homo > Homo sapiens. The sequence continues at coordinate 14,851,113 of NC_000006.12, read as the reverse complement.
ATTTAAGATCCTTGTTGTCTTCAATATTTTGATCTTTAACATATGTTTCAGAGAGCAAAATGGGAGAGATTTGTATGAGATAGATGGTCCTCAGTGAGAGCTAATTTTATCTTTCAGGAGGAGGGGAAGAGAGTAGATGATAAGCAGCTCCCTGGGTGTGTGCCTCAGTTTCCTCTATGATGCTGTCTGAAAAGCCATCCTGCATGGACGATGGAAGGAGGAGCCCTTCATGTGCTCCTCAGCGACACCAAGGGAAAGTGGGTCATGTAGCAGGGAGTCCCCACTTTCCCATGCCTGGACCCCACTTTAGCTTGATGTGAACCCAGCAAAGAGAAAGGTTGAGGTTTTAACAGACAAAGCTCACGTGCCTTAGTGGAGGATGTGATTGGAGAGCATGCTCCTAAAACAGGTCGCTAGGCCAGGCGCGGTGGCTCGCGCCTGTGATCCCAGCACTCTGAGAGGCCGAGGTGGGTGGATCATGAGGTCAGGAGTTCGACACCAGCCTGGGCAACATGGTGAAACTGCACCTCTACTAAAAATTAGCCGGACATGGTGGTGCACATCTGTAATTCCAGCTACTCAGGAGGCTGAGGCAGGAGAATCGCTTGAACCCAGGAGGCAGAGGTTGCAGTGAGCTGAGATTGCACCACTGCACTCCAGCCTGGGCAACAGAGTGAGACTCTGTCTGAAAAATAAAATAAAATAAAATAAAATAAAATAAAATAAAATAAAATAAAATAAAATAACAGGTCGCTAGGGCTGCAGAGCTTCTGTCTAGCAGAGAAGGTGAGCCACATGCTAGGGTAGCAAAGAAAGGGAAAAGCCACCTAGAAGAGGTAGAGATGAGATGCAATGGGGGCTCAGAGCAGGTGGTGACTGCTTCCACCTTGGGGTGTGGGTGGGGAGCAAAGGAGCGTACTGGGGGAGTGGTATTTGGTCCAGTCATGATGGATGGGTAAGAACTGGCTATTCTGAGACGTCTGAAACTAAGTATGGGACATACACTGAAAAAATGATTCACCATTGATCTGAAATTCAAATTTAACTGGGCATCCTGCATTTGCTCCATCTGGCAACTGTTCTAGAAGCGGATATAGCGTGGGCTCCAGGTGGCCCCATGCTTTGGCCTCTTGCCCCAGGGCTATAGGGGAGCTGGAATGGGGCTGAGAGAGCAGGGATCATGGAGCAGGGACCCTGGGTGCTAGGTCTAAGGGCTAAATGCTTAGAGATGATATGAGGAATAAACTGGATCACAAATATAAAGTGGTTCAATAAATGGTGGCTATTATTATGAATCTCTTCTGGGTGTGATAAATGGTCAATTTACCTTAGGATCTGAAAAACAATTGATTGGCCATGGGCTACTCAGAAAAGGATTCAAAAACTTATGTTTTTGTCCACAAATGGACATTTGGATGCACTGTACATTTATAGATGTCTTTTAGAATTCTTTCCACTCTTGTTTACTAGGCTTTTTTTTTTCATCATATATTGCATGGCCTATGAGCTTATCTGGGCCTCTGGTTCCCTGACTCCATTGTCTGCATTCAATTGTTGTGTGATAAAGGGGGGAACAGGTTTCTTCAGCATCCTACATTCAAATTCTGGGTCCCCTGGAGGGCTTCTGCCAGCTTTTGTTTTATGGAGCTCCACACACTTAATCTTTCTTGAATTGTTTCATGGGTGTCTGTAGAGTTTGCATTATTCACTCCAGAAGGGCAGGGACCTGCTTTTGTTCTGCATTCCCCAGCATTCAGATTTCAGGCTGGTGAGTTGCTGGTGTTTGTCTTTCAATAAACACTTGATTGATTAGGTGGATCACTAGAGGAGCTGGGCTCACTCCTAGGGAGCCCTGTTCCTGTATGTGGAATTTGTATGATGGGTGTGTGAATTTTGAAATGTACATGAGCCTCACCCATCATCATGAATTCACTTAATTAACAATTATTGAGCATGTTCTAGGTGCCAGGAACTGGGTTAGCCCCTGGGTTAGAAAGATAAACAGATAGTCTCTGCCTTCAAGGAGCTTGAAGTCAAATGTGGAGATATAAATCCAAATAATTGACAATAACATCATGCTGTGTTGGAAGAATGGAGAAATTCAGGGCTAGGAGAAGTCTGGACTGGCCAAAAACACATGGGCATCCTAGGCAGACATAATTTGACATTCCTCAAACTGATATTCTTTAAATGTATGTTCAACATATAATCAATTTTAATGTAGAGAAAAGGATTTTCTATTAAGAAAACTTATGTACCTTCTTCTTCTTGATTTTAATAAGGAATTTATGACACACTGAATATACATAAGCAGTTTAACCTTTTTTATTTATTTATTTATTTTTTTGAGAAGGAGTCTCACTCTGTCGCCCAGGCTGGAGTGCTGTGGTGTGATCTCTGCTCACTGCAATCTCCGCCTCCCAGGTTCAAGCGATTCTCCTGCCTCAGCCTCCTGAGTAGCTGGAACTACAGCCACCCGCCACCATGGCCAGCTAATTTTTATATTTTTAGTAAAGATGAGGTCTCACCATGTTGGCCAGGCTGGTCTTGAACTCCTGACTTCAAACAATCTCCCCGCCTCGGCCTCCCAAAGTGCTGGGATTACAGGCATGAACCACTGCACCCAGCCCAGTTTAACCTTTTGGAAATTGCAATTTTTGAAGCAGACAACTTTTGGGGAGGCATATTAAAGTAGTTAAGATTTATATGGTAATATGACCCATGCTTTCCTAGTAACTACTGCCCTACCATGAGTTGTTTTGTTTAAGCATCTTTTGCAAGTTCCAACTATGACTTCAGGCAACTGGCTCAGAAATGGCCTGTGGTGGTTTAGAGCAATCTTTCATGTCCAGGGCAAAAATACTCATGATGAGAGATAGGCCAGTGAGGAAGTAGAATGATTTCATGTTGGAACATTGTTGACTTCAATAGTCATTATTAATTTACATGCCACCTGTTACAGAAAGCGTTGACTGTGGGAACCTGAGTTAAGTGGCATCATCTGTTTAATTTATGCCATTGATGTTTCAGCATCTCATGTTGGTTGGTTTCCTGGGCAGATGCCCTTCTCCTCTGCTGTGTATTCCGGCTCGAGGGTGGAAGCCTGGAAGTCAGTCTGAGGGGAGAAAGTATTGGAGCTGAAACTTGAAGCCTAAATTAAATTTTTCCTGGAGGGGTGAAGTGGGAGGGAATAGCCTTCTGGTTTAGGGATTAGCACAAGAAAAGTACGAAGGCAGGGAAGACTATGGCGAGTTTGGATACTTCTAAGCCGACCGGTATTTGCAGATCACCAAGTGTATGATATGGTTAGAGAACAGGAGATGAGGCTGGACGAACAGCCCAGAGCCAGAACTCAAGATAGCCAAATATGAGTTTCCCTTCGGCCAAGGATGGAAGTTTTTCCCTTCAGTTTAGGCAATACAGAGTGAGCCAACGATAATTTTTTTCTTTTTTTTACAAACACATAACACTGTTCCCTCAATATTTCACTATGAAAATTTTCAAAAACACAGACAAATTCAGAAAGAAGGACAATTAACACTATATATCCACCACCTACATTTTGCTATTAGTGTCTTGCTCTCTTTGTTTCTGCAGCTTTCAAAATGTGGCCTGCAGGCCCTGGAGACCTTGAGACACTTTCAGCTGATCTTTGAGGTCGAAATAATTTTCATAATAATGCTAAAATGTTAAGTGTCCTTTTTTTTGTCACGTTGCTATTTGCACTGATGGGGCAAAAGTGAGGGTAGGTAAAACTGTGGTACCTCAGCAGGAACCGAGTCAGTGGCACCCGCCGTACCACCAGTCCTGGTATTATTCTTTACTGCCACTCAGTTGTAGGCTAAGAAATATCAGTTTCAATTCAGAGTGTCCCTGATAAAGCATTACAAGTTATTTTTTATTCATTTATTTATTTTTTGAGACGGAGTTTCGCTCTTGTTGCCCAGGCTGGAATGCAATGGCGCGATCTCAGCTCACCGCAACCTCCACCTCCCAGGTTCAAGCAATTCTCCTGCCTCAGCCTCCCGAGTAGCTGGGATTACAGGCACGCACCACCACGCCCGGCTAATTTTGTATTTTTAGTGGAGATGGGTTTCTCCATGTTGAGGCTGGTCTGGAACGCCTGACCTCAGGTGATCCGCCCGCCTTGGCCTCCCAAAGTGCTGGGATTACAGGCGTGAGCTACCATGCCCGGCCGAAGCATTACAAGTTATTAATTTATAATCTCAACTCTTGAGTGCATAACTTTTGAATCTTTTGGGTGATGAAATGAGAACCGTGCATAAAGCACTGCTACTCCATATTGAAATACAATGGCTATCTCGAGACAAGTCCTTGTGTGACTGCCTGAATTGATAGCTGAACTGGCAGCCTTTTTCATGGAACATCAATTTTCATTCGAAAGAATGACTATGTTCATTTCCTAGGGTTGCTGCAACAAATGGCCACAGCCTTGGTGCTTTAAGATAACAGAAATTTATTCCCTCACAGTTCTGGAGGTCCCAAGTCCAAAATCAAGGTGCTGGGAGGGCCCTGCTCCCTCTTGAGCACCTGGGGTAGAATCTGTCCTTTCCTCTTGTGGCTTCTGGTGGTGATGGGCATGCTTTGGCGGTCCTTGTCTTGTGGCTGCATCACTTCAGTCTCTGCCTCCGTCTTCACATGATCTTCTCGTCTTTGTGTCTCTGTGTCTTCTCCTCTTCTGTGTGTCTCAAATCTCTTTCTGCCTCTCTTATAAGGGACTTGTCATTGGATTTAGGACCCACCTGGCTAATCCAGGATAAGCCCCTTTCCTCAAGATCCTTAACTTCATCACTTCTTGGGCCTTAAAAGGTAACATGCACAGGTCCCAGGGATTGGGAAGTGAATACATCTTTGGGGTGTTAGAGGTGGTAGTGCATGTTTTTCTGCTTATCACAATGACAGATAAGCTATAGTTATCCAACCTAGGGTATTTGCCAAATATTTTCTTAGAAATGAACAAAGTGAACCTATCACTTCAAGGGAAGCAATGGACATTTTTGTTGCCAATTAGAAAGTTCCAGCTTTCAAATAAAAAGTGGGATTTTGGAAAACTTGTATTTACCACCATGAACTTGCCAGTTTCTCAATATTTGAATACTTATCTGATAAGAATGTTGCTGATACAAAATGTATGGGATTTAAAAAAAGTGTACATATATATGTCTTCTTTAACAAAATGTGTCAACTTTTGGAAGTTCTGCATAACTCAGTGAATCAATATTTTACAAACGATCAGTGCTTAATGGTATAAAATCATGAGTAGATAAAAATCTATTTACAGTGCAAGATAGACCAATGGATTATAATATACTAGAGTATGAACAGTTTACTGATAAGGTTTCAGATTTTACACTGAAACTAACTTTCAAGAAACTATCACTTTCACAGTTTTGGTTAATATAAAAAAGGAATCTTCACAATTATCTGAAAATACTATTACAATTCTCTTCCCTTTACCCAGCACAAAGGCTGCGCGAGTGAGTTTTCCTCATTTACTTCAACCAAAACAGCATATCACAAAAGATAGAATGAAGAAGTAAATACAAGAATCCAGCTGTCTTTATTAAGCCAGACATTAAAGAGCTTTATTTGCAAAAATATAAAGCATTACCACTGTTGTTGCTATTTTTTTTTCATTTGGAAGATATGGTTATTTTTCATAAAATGTATTTTTGTTTTGTTTTGTTTTGTTTTGTTGAGACCAAGTCTCACTCTATCAGCCAGGCTGGAGTACAGTGGTGCGATCTCAGCTCACTGCAACCTCTGCCTCCCGGGTTCAAGCAATTCTCGTGCCTCAGCCTCCCGAGAAGCTGGGATTACAGGCACCCACCACCACGCCTGGCTAATTTTTGTATTTTTAGTAGAGGCGGGGTTTCGCCATGTTGGCCAGGGTGGTCTCAAACTCCAGACCTCAAGTGATTCACCCACCTCGGCCTCCCAAAGTGCTGGGATTACAGGAGTGAGCCACTGCGCCCGGCCAAAATCTGTGTGTGTTTTTAAAATAACATGTAGTGTTTTTGTTTTTGTTTTTATTTTTGTTTTTCAGCAATGTAATAAATATTTTAACAACTTCATCAGTTTAATTTACATTACGGTAAAACTGACAGATACAATTCACCAAATGAAAGCCCTTTGAGGTCCTCAATAGGTTTTAAGTATGTAAAAGGGTCCCCAAACCAGAAAGTCTGAAAACTGCTGTTGAATGAATTTAGACGGCAGTGGGAGTCAAGGCTATGGGACTCTGGATGAACTCTGTGGAGACTGAGGAGGCGCCGCTCACGTGCTACGTGGCAGGAAAGAGGAATGAAGGGCAGAAAGGGCACCGAGCGTGGGGAGGGGCCGTGTAGCGGGACCACGGGATTGTGGTTGGGAAGTAATGGGAAATTGAAGGCCCAGGCTGCGTGGGGTCAGGTTGTGAAGGTGTGTGAATCTGACATGCAGGATTCACCGGGAGGTGTGGGAGAGTACTGATGCTTCTGCGAAGGGGGCGCGGGCAGCCGGTGGGGGAGGCTTGGGATCGGCGGGGGAGGCAGAGCCTGTCCTGAGGCTATAGCTCTGGCTCAAGCATGGGTAATAAGGATCACGCCTGAGTCAGTGTTGAAGAATTGTGAGACTATGAAAGATTGAATACATGGAACAGACATTTTGCGGGAAAAAAAAAAAAAAAACACAACCGTACATGATAAACGGTGATAAAAGGGGTGAGGGAAAGCAATGGGACCAAGGTAAAGTTGCTGTCATTGCGTAGCAGCAATAATACGACATCTGAACATCTGAAGCTGTCTTTCCAACTGTCAGACTAGAAAAAAAAATCTATTCATTCCCCATTCTTTCACCTTCCTTAATTCTATTTTTTTTTTTTTTTTTTTTTGAGGCGGAGTCTCGTTCTCGCCCAGGCTGGAGTGCAGTGGCACGATCTCGGCTCACTGCAAGCTCCGCCTCCCGGGTTCACACCATTCTACTGCCTCAGCCTCCCGAGTAGCTGGGACTACAGGCGCGTGCCACCATGCCCGGCTAATTTTTTGTATTTTTTAGTAGAGACGGGGTTTCACCATGTTAGCCAGGATGGTCTCGATCTCCTGACCTCGTGATCCACCCGCCTCGGCCTCCCAAAGTGCTGGGATTACAGGCGTGAGCCACCGTGTCTGGCCAACTTCTTTAATTCTAAAGATGAATTGTGTAATGTTCACACTGATTGGCCAAATTTTTGGTTAGGACCAGAGTCCCACTCTTTGGAATAATCAGCAAAAAGTTTTGCTAAACAAAGTGGTATTTACACCAAAATTCAGAAGATATATTCTGGTCTAGAGGCATGAAAGAGCCAGGTCAGTTCACTAAGTGAAGATGGACTTTCTCAGAAAAGAATGCAGACCAAGGGAAAAGAAGAGGGTCCCATTGCTTTCAGAAAAGTGGAGGGCATGGGCTTGGTCTAGGGACATTGCTACCATGGCAGAGTGAACATGGCTGAGGACCACAGGCTGTGTACTACTCCATTATTCTCCCATTCTCCACCAATGGCTGTGCCACAGCCTCTTTGGTGACCAACAGCTTCTTAGTTATATTACCTCTTGAAGAGTGTACGTTACTTGAAACTCTCTTTTTTGGTTCCTCTGTCATCACTTTTTCTTGGTTTTCTTGATACTTCTCAGAACAATATTTTTGACTCCCTACAGGGCTCCTTTTCTCTCTATCCCTTCCTTCTTTTCCTTTCTTTCCTTTTCTTTTCTTTCTTTCTTTTTTGACAGGGTCCCACTCTGTCACTCAGCCTGGAGTGCAGGGGCACGATCATGGCTCACTGCAGCCTCTACCTCCTGGGCTCAATCCATCCTCCCACCTCAGTCTCCTGAGTAGCTAGGACCACAAGGTACATGCCACCATGCCTTGCTAATTTTTTTTTTTTTTTTGGATGGAGTTTTGCTTTTGTTACCCAGGCTGGAGTGCAGTAGTGCAATCTTGGCTTAGTGCAACCTCCACCTTCTGGGTTCAAGCGATTGTCCTGCCTCAGCCTCCCAAGTAGCTGGGATTACAGATGCCTGCCACCACACCCAGCTAATTTTTTGTATTTTTAGTAGAGACGGGGTTTCATCATGTTGGCCAGGCTGGTCTCGGACTCCTGACTTCAGGTGATCTGCCTGCCTCGGCCTCCCAAAGTGCTGGGATTACAGGCATGAGCCACCATGCCTGGCCTTTTTTGCATTTTTTGTCAAAGTCTCACTGTGTTGCCCAGGCTGGTCTTGAACTCCTGTGCTCAAGTGATCCTCCTGTCTCGGCCTCCCAACGTGTTGGGATTACAGGCAAGAGCCACCATGTCCATTGTTTCTCAACCCTTTAATCTTTTTTTTTTTTGGAATTCCATCCTTGGTTTTGTTTCCTACTCACTCTATTCTCTCTTCCTAAGTGATCTTATTCACTGGATGGTTTTAATTACTGGAAAATAAATTCTATGTGGGTTGAGATTTTATCTTCTTCACAGCTATATTTCCAGCACCCAGAAGAGTACCTAGTGTATCGTGGGTGCTCAGTAAAGAGTTTTTAAGAGGTTGAATGAATTGCCATTCATAGGCACAATCTAAATGTAACCCTAATAAAACCTAGTTGCCTTGAGTCCAGCTTAACACAGTGCAAATTAAAAGGAAACATAAATTTGACTACAGAATAAAGTATTTGTGAGTGCAGATGGGTAGAGCCTTTCTGGAAGGCAATCTGGCAATTCTTAGTTAAAATAAGTATGTGTACACTCTATGACTCAGTACTCACTTTCCTACTTATAAATCACAGAAAAAAAAATCTCCTATGGGTCTATAAAAGAACATGAATGAGGATGTTCATTCCAGTGTTATTTGTGGAAAAGAGAGTTGGAAGCAATTTGAACATCCTTCACTGAGGAATGTCAAATGAAATGTGGCAGATGTATAATAGGGACACCATGAAGCAATCGGAAGCAACTGGAATGAATAGCATGTAAACACAGCAGCACACATCAACCTCGAAAACATTGTTTCGTGGGATGAGGTAAGAAACATAATGCTCTCTTTTGCACAATGTCACTTACGTAAATTTAAAACATGCACAGCGGGTCGGGTGTGGGTGTGGTGGCTCACGCCTGTAATCCTAGCACTTTGGGAGGGCAAGGTGGGCGGATTGCTTGAGGTCAAGAGTTTGAGAACAGCTTGGCCAACATGGTGAAACCTCATCTCTACTAAAAATAGAAAAATTAGCTGGGTGTGATGACACATGCCTGTAATGCCAGCTACTCGGGAGGCTGAGGCAGGAGAATCACTTGGACCCAGGAGGCAGAGAGGTTGCAGTGAGCCTAGATTGCACCACTGCACTTCAGCCTGGGCAACAGAGCCAAACTCCATCTCAAGACCAGCCAGGCCAACATGATGAAACCCCATCTCTACTAGAAAAAAAAAAATACAAAAATTACCTAGACGTGGTGGCAGGTGCCTGTAGTCCCAGCTACTCGGGAGGCTGAGGCAGGAGAATTGCTTGAACTTGGGAAGCGGAGGTTGCAGTGAGCCAAGATCGCACCATTGCACTCCAGCCTGAGCAACAAAAGCAAAACTCCTCCTCAAGAAAACAAAAACAAAAAAACACAGAGCTGCAGAAAATATTCTAGCTCATGGTTTGAGTGCTATTTACATAGGTGTATACATACATGTAAATTCAACAAGCTGCATACTTAAGGTTATTTTGCTTTACTGTATCCATGTTATACCTGAATAAAAAATTAAAAAGTGCACATGAAATATTATATATAAGAAAAATTAACGAAATAGAAGGATACACATCAAACACATTAGAAAATGGCTTGTAGTGGGGAGGATGGAGATAAAAGGGAATGAATGAATAAATAAGTTAAAGAATTTCTTTTTAAAAATCAAAAATGGAGTTTTGCATGAACCAACATGAGAATGTGCCCTGGACTGAGAAGTCTGAGGTCTCTTCCATATATTTCATCTATTTGTCTATGAGTCTATCTATGGAATTATCTACACATTTTGTTGATGGTTCCCCAAACCATCCACAGCCCTACTCTCTTGTCTCAAGTCCAATTCTACATCTCCTGTTGCCTGTTAGGCACCCCGAACTGGAAGCTCTTGATTTGTGTCTTAAACACTAAAAACAGAACAAAACAAAACAAAACAAACAAAACCCCAAACCAAAAACACAACGTTAACTTCCTTGAGAGATGGTCTTTGCCAGCATATTGAAATCCTGCTTACTGCAGGAATCTAGGCATCTCTCCATATGCTCTAGGTTGGAGCAAAATTTTAGACCAGCAGCACCGGCATCACCTGAAAGCTTATCAGTAATGCAACATCTTAGGCCCCACCCCAGACTTACTGAATCACAACTCTTTTTTTTTTTTTTTTTTTTTTTTCTGAGACGGAGTCTCGGTCTGTCGCCCAGGCTGGAGTGCAGTGGCGCAATCTCTGCTCACTGCAAGCTCCGCCTCCCAGGTTCACACCATTCTCCTGCCTCAGCCTCCAAAGTAGCTGGGACTACAGGCGCCCGCCACCACGCCGGCTAATTTTTTTTTTTTTTGTATTTTTAGTAGAGACGGGGTTTCACCGTGTTAGCCAGGATGGTCTCGATTTCCTGACCTCGTGATCCTCCTGCCTCGGCCTCCCAAAGTGCTGGGATTACAGGCGTGAGCCACCGCGTCCGGCCCACAACTCTCTTTTTAACAAGATTATAGGTGATTTGTTGTACACGAAACCTTGAGAAGCACTGCCCTGTTTCTTGTTGTACTTTCTTAACTGAATGCAGACTACTGGGTAGAAAGAAGTGGAGACTCCTTCTGGCAATACCTAAGTGGGGTTAAAGACATGCTGTATTCAGGCTTTGTATGCCAGGATCTGTTAGATGAAGAGTGAGCATCCAGAGTTCTAGCCTCTTCTTGGGCGAGTGTCCTTGGAGAGGCCATTCCTCATTATGCATTTCAATAGCACTCTATATTAACAAAGCACTTCTCCATCAATTTATTAGTGATTCTCTCTCAAATTCTCTGCATCATCTTTCCAAGCAATAAATCGTGGTGTATTTTCTTTGTAACCCATAAGTGGTCGATAAGTAAACAAATGGGTTGAAAAGGTAACATAGCAGAAAAGTGTTTCAATTTTCCTTCATCCGTCCTCCATGCATCACTTAGGGAGAAACCAAGTGTTCAGAGACTCCATCTGTATTTAGAATATCATTCTAAACGGAGAGAAGGAGGGAATAACTTTATGTTACATTATAGAAACCATTAGTTTAATAACTTTAGACAGGTTTGAAGAGGTGGTCTGTCAATTCAATGGCATTAGCTAAACTGAAGCCCGACGTCAAAAAAATTAAGCTAATGCTTTCCACTTTCTGACTGTATGTATACCATTACTGAGCTACAGTGTTGGCACAGAGATTAAGTCTATTCTGTGTTAGTTTATAGGCTGCCTCAGTTTGAGTTGGGCATAAAATAAAACAATGAATATGTACTCCTATTTTTCTCCTGTATAAATTGACTCTTGAAACAGCTTTCTCCTTGCCCAGAGTAAGGGCAGTGGGTGGCTATGAAATCCTCTCTATCTGCATGCATTCGTCTCCGGAAATCTCTTTAAGCTCTCTACTTTTCTCTGTCTTGCTTCTCTGCAGTTCTCTGCCAGACACCTTTAGCTTAGTGTTTCAGACCTCCCTTTCTAGTGTCTTCTTTTATCAGAGACATGGGCTTCGCTTCCCTGTTGCTTCATATCCACAGCCTCAATCAAGCCTCATACAAACCAGGCTTCTCATTTCCCTCTCCAGCTCCAGAGTAACAGCCCTGGCAGGCAGCCTGAGGAGCCTGGGGTCCACTCCCTCCTAGCAGGGGTCAGATACCCCCATTCATGCCAGTCATTGCCAACTTCTTAGGATAACCCAAGATAAGAAGCAGAATATGCAGACCTGTGATTTCATGGTCAACCTGTCAATTTCTGAGATGGTGACACTCTCATAGTCAATGTTTGACTCCTACAATAAAAAGATTTCCATCAAGACAAAATAAAGAAGCAGCAAACACTGGCCCAATGAGAAAGCTACCTGTTTATATCATTAAAAAAAATTGGCTTGATTCAGGTGCAAAGACAAGTTGCAGTAGCTAAATAAAACCAACGTGAGTGTAGATGAGGAAAAAACAAAAGGAGAGAGAGTGGATCGGAAAGAGACAATCTTCTGGTGGGCAACATCAAAGAACCCGCTGACCCCATCAGAATTTCACGAGTGCCGTGCCAGCACTCAGTAAGGAAAAGCAATTATTTTAAGAAAATCTATTTGAGGGTAACACCGTCATTATCCTTTTAATGGTACTGCTCTAACAATCCAGTTACAGTAGGCTTTAAAAAATAAGAAGTGCTCCTTTTGCCAATACAATTAAGGCATTTTGGAGAGGCAGATGGTATTAGTTCAGCTTATAGAGGCTTTTCTTGCCATGTCTAGAAAAGAACATTTTTGCAAGTGCAGTATGGTGCAGTAGCCAAGTCCAATATAGGTGTGCACAGCCAATGATTGTAGTGGTCTACCAAGAAAAAAAATAAATAAATAAATAAAACGCCAGTGCAAATGGAGCTTCTTCTAGGCGTCAGACAAATCTGTTTTCCATCAGTGGAGAATGAAGTGGAAAACTGCTGTGCTTTCCAAATAACAAGAGAAGAGATAACTTTTGGAAAACTAACAAGAAGTTTCCCTGCATGTAATAAATCAGTTGCCCCGAAACTGGGTTACTTCTCTTTCTCTGCCTAGGGCAAGTACTTTTGTGTGACATTAGGTGATTCAAAAGGGCTTTAAGTTTAGCTAATTAAAGGAACTTGGAGAGGGAGCTGGAGAAGCAGGAGCAGACAATTGAAAAGGTTAAAGGTTTCGTCCACATCCATTAATCACCTGAAATCCAAAATGAACCCATAGAATACTACTCTTGAAACTCTGTGAGGTCCTGAAGGCATGTGTTTCTTTGGAAGCTTTGCTATACATCTGCTATTAATAGGCCAGAACAATTAGAAATAGTCTCCCTCCAGCAACATGCAAATAACTCCCTTTTTCGATTAACTAGGGCAGAAAGAAGCAAAAGTAGAAAAGTGAGAGAAATTGAAAACTACATTGCCCTAAAATTTTGTACTCACACATCAATCCCAATTTGGTGGTAAAAGTGGAGATCGGTTTTGTTTTATCCAGATAACCCCATTACACACAAAGGAAATCTACTGATAAGGAATGATACCTTTGAAGTGGTAGGGCTGGAATTTTCATACAACTGTGTTGAAAACCAAAACCTTTCTCCTTACTGTAAAATGCTTTGTGAAGGGTGCTGGGGGGGATCTTTATTAACTAACTCTGGATGATGTTGAGCTACTCACTCTTTTTTGGCTTTAGATTCTTCAGCTGTAAGATGTAAAGATGTAGTAAGACATCTCCGTCACATTCAAGCTCTTACTTTCTATATGACCATGCGTGCAGTCAGTACATGACCCATATGTTTATAGAAGTGCATGTCTAACCAGGGAGATCACACATCCACACAATGAAAACTGTCAACATAAAGCAATGCATTTTAGGTGTCAACTTATTAGTACAGGTATTAATTTATGTATAATCCAGGTGCTCCACTCTTAAGGCAAATTCGTCCATGACCCTGCATCCTCCTGTAATATGTACACTGTACCTCTCTCCTTCCTCTCATAGCCAGGTTTCTAGAACCATTAGTCTTCATGTGCTATCTCCATGACCTCATCTGTCATTCAATCCTCAACCCACTGAAATTTGGCTTCCATTTTCCCAGCTCCAGGAAAACTGTTTTCCACCAGGGTCACCATCCACCTCCAAGTTGCCAAATCCTATAGACTCCTTTCAATCCCACCCCTCTCTTGCCTTCTCAGCATTTTGTACTGTTGACAAGTTCCTGTTCTTGAAACTGTTTCCTTCCTTTGTTTCCAAGACCCCATTCTTCCCTGTTCTCCTCCTTCCTCACCAACTGCTTTTTCTCAAGGTTCTTTTATCGGTACCTTTTCCCTACCTGCCCTTTAAATCCAGGCACTGCTTTAAGCTGTTTTTGGCCCTGATCACAAACTCTCCCTCTCTAGACAAAAACTTTTTATGCCCTGTAAATGCTGCTGAATCTCCAATGTGTATCTCTATTTGAGATCTCTCTATCCCATAGTTTATATCTGGATGTCTCATGAGTACCCCAAAATTATATCCAAAATTCATCTTACACCCTCCCCCCTATATGTTTCACTACCTAAAGTCAGTTCCTAACTAAATGTACAGCCTCACATTTTACCTGTTGTTCAAGGTAGAAATTTGGAAGTTACTGTGAATTCCTCTCCCTCCCTCATCCTGCCCCTGCCATGTCTAATCAGTTATTAAGAGCTGTCAATTCTCCTATCTGTTTGTCCCTTTCTCTCTCCCTGTTCCATCCTCGCCCTGGTCCAGGCCCTCATCTTCTCTCTCTGAACCCTTTGCAATGGCCCCCCACCTGTTCCCCGCCTCTAAGCCTTTCTCATGCCTGTCATCTTCCCTACTGGCATTGGGTTCTTTCCCACATCTGAATTTGATCATGTCACTCCCTGCTCAAATTCTTTGTTGCATTGAATTCTGTTGATGCTATGCATGCTGATATGTTCAGAGGTAAGTCTGCAATTTATTTTGAAATCCACCAAGAAAATAAGATGGATTGATGGATGGATCAAGGAGCTGATAAACAGAAAGATGTGTTATAAGCTAGAGTACTCCCTCATCGCTCCTAAGACAGGTACCAGTCAAAGGAACCTCTCTGCCAATATTTTGGCATAAACACATGGAGGATATCATATCACTTCTATTTAGCCTTTTGTTGGAGCTCAAAATAATGACAAAGAATACAAGAGAGTGAATCAGGATATAGAAACTAACATAGCTATACCTTCAATGATAGACGTTTTGAAAAATAACAGATTGAAATGGACTTTCCTGAGGCATTAGTAGTTCACCTACATGCCTGAAAGGAGGTCTCCCCTCTCTATTTTTCTTCATATATGGGATTAAAACAGAAGTAACCTTGAGGCAATTTCCATTTGGGTAGAGAGTAAAGTGATAGATTATTTTGTCAATAGTAAGCTGTTAACATTTCTCTACGAAGGAAAAAAAAATTGTCCAAGGATGGTGGCTCATGCCTGTAATCCTAGCACTTTGGGAGGTCAAGGTGGGTGGATCACTTGAGGTCAGGAGTTCGAGACCAGCCTGGCCAACATGGTGAAAGCCCATCTCTACTAAAAATACAAAAATTAGCTGGGCATGCCTGTAATCCCAGCTACTCGGGAGGCTGAGGCAGGATAATTGCTTGAACTCAGGAGGTGGAGGTTGCAGTGAGCTGAGATCATGCTACTGCACTCCAGCCTGGGTGACAGAGTGAAACTCCATCTCAACAACAAAAAAATATATAAAAAATTAGCTGGTCATGGTGGCAAATGCTTGCAATCCTAGCTACTTGGGAGGCTGAGATGGGACGATTGCGTGAGCCCAGGAGTTCGAGGCTGCAGTGAACTATGATTACACCACTGCACTCCAGCCTGGGTGACAGAGAGAGACCCTCTCTTAAAACAAAGCAAAACAAAACAAAACAAAACAAAACAAAAATAACTAAGTTCAATAGATGTTTAAAAAGAATTCAGAGAAGCTCTACTAAGAAACACTGCCTAGCTTTCAAGCTTTGGAATTAGCTGTGAAACCATTTCATAATAAGGCCTTTTTGTGACCTCAATAGATAAACACCTTTGGATGGTGTCTATGACACTCTTTGGATGGTGTCTATGACACTCTTTTATACAAAATCTTACCCTTTAAAAAATAGTAATACAGTGAGAGCCCAGTGTAAAGTTAAGAACTATTTTTTTTTGCAACTAATGCAATGCTAGAGTTATTATAATATCTAAAAATAAGGAAGGATTTATTCCACATTGTACACTTCGGTTGTAATCTGGAACTATTTTGTCACAAGAAATCGGAACCATGCATATCCTAGTTCCAAGCATAATTTGGCATTATTTTATTATGTGTGGTTCCAATATCTTGGAGTGAAATAAGTCCAGTTTGTTTCCCATGAATCCAATGCCGAATAATCTTTCCAAAGGGGTTTGGCTTCAGGGAGTATGCCAAGGAACATACATGGTTAGGGATATTGCAAGAGGGAGATGGGTCATTATTACTGAGTTGATCATTATGAATACGAAGTGGACTTGCAAATCAGTTTTTCATCACAACTTGACTTTAGGTACCATTTTAACTGTGTGAAAACTTTTTCTTTGGGTGTCCAAAACACATAAAGCAAAACCAAAAATAAGACAACCTTTTCCCCCCCATTTTTGATGTCAGCATGAAATATGTACTGTAGGAACATTTGAGAAAAATACTCTTAAGCAAGTCTTCTTATGAAGATGTAGACAAAGATGTATTTTTACCAAATGTCAAAATTATGTTGTCAAGTTTGATATGCAATGCCACAAAAATGAGTCTATTGCATAGATTTCCATGGTAGCAGTTCTCTGTGGGAAGGAGTATATTTGGTAAGGGAAATGGTTCACAATCAAAGTATTATTGCTTTGGGGGCAAGGAGGATGCTTGCCATTCAGAATAATACAGCAGCAAAACATACTGATAAATTTTTAGTTATGTACCGCATTGTTAATAGCAAGTGTCAACCATATTTTGCATTCTATTATAAACTTCAGCCTTAGACTCATGAAACTGAAAGGAAACCTATGAGCTTGGCAGGACCAAAATAAAACCAAGAATTCATAGATCTTCTGGAGAATTAACTCCACCAATAATGTGTGAGGTTTAGTTATGAGATGAACTACCAACAGTGAAAACTATTCTACTCTGGTTGAAACAGCCTGTCTTTAACATTGGGCATATTTTACCATCTACCTAGATTAGAGGAACCCAAATCCCCACACCAACTTCCAGTCATCACATCGATTGGCTTCCATAACTTTATGCAAAAAGCATGGATTTTGATTTGAACATTGCTGAGAGCTGGGTTTAAGTTCCAGCTCTCCTGTTTACTGTGTGGATGGTGATGGACTAACTACTTGATCTTTGGAAGCTTCAGTTTTTTCATCTTAGAAGGGATGTAAGTTACCTTTTAAATTTTACTGTGATGGTTTCATGAGATATTGCTTGGCAGATTCTCCATAAATAGCTGTTGTTCCTATGACGATAGTAAATTGGCTTTTCCTCTTAGGGTGATGGTGGCAGTTTCCCCCAAATGACTTGGGAGTGAGTATGGATTCTGGGGGCAGGATTTTGCCATGAAGACCAAAGACTTTTGGAATGGTCCACTGACGTCACTGCAGGGCAGCTGCTCTTAGGAGTTGTTCCTGGAGACCCGTTTTGGGTGCCCACTTTCTGTCCTGATTCCTCCCACCAGTAACTCTTGTTAGGCTGCACTACAGAACCAGGAAAGGAAATTGTAGCTATAATTACAAAGGGTGACAAGCTTTTATAGAAACCCCATTTAGAGAGAAGACCAGGGCTACTATTTAAAATATTAAAATAATCCTATATGGGGTGGCGAATAGCAGCTGCATCAAATCCCCTGAGTGAGCCTGCCCTCTCTTTCCTACTCCCTCATTGTGACAGTTTTATGTGTCAACCTAGCTAGGCTATCGTATCCAGTTATTTAGTCAAGACTCATCTAGTTGTTGCTGTAAAGGTGTTTTATAGATGTGGTTAGTATCTCCTACCAGTTGACTTTATGTAAAGGAGATTACCCTTGATAATGCTGGTGGGTTTCATGCAATTGTTGAAGGCATTAAGGGCAAAAAATGAGGTTTCCCAGAGAAGAAGGAATTCTGCCTCAAGACTGCAGCAAATCTTGCAAGAGTTTCTAGCCTGCTGGTCTGCCCTATGGATTTCGGACTAGCTAGTCTGTATACTAGCATGAGCCAGCTCCTTAAAATCTCAATCTCTAGCCAGGCATGGTGGCTCACACCTGTAATCCCAGCACTTTGGGAGGCCGAGGTGGGAGAATCACTTGAGGCCAAGAGTGTAAGACCAGCCTGGCCAACACGGCAAGACCCTGTCTCTACCAAAAGAATGAAAAGAATTAACCAAGTGTGGGAGTGCACACCTGTAGTTTCAGCTATTTGGGAGGCTGAGGTGGGAGAATTGCTTGAGTCCAGGAGATCGAGGCTGCAGTGAGCTATGACTGTGCCACTGCACTCCAGCCTGGGTGACAGAGTGAGACCCTGTCTCCAAAAATAAATAAATAAATAAATCACAATCTCTGTCTCTGTTTCTCTCTGTGTATATGTATATATCCTACTGGCTCTGTTTTATTGGAGAACCTGCCTCTCCACCCACCCCTTCCTGCTCAGGCTGCCCTGCCATTTATCAGAGATCTTCCCATGTTCCAGAAGTGAAACAGTTAAAACCTGGCCCTATAGGAATCCAGCCAGGGGCCTATTCTCCAGATCCATTGGTCAGTATTCCCAGGAAGAAATAGAGAGGGCAGAGCTTCTGGAAACGTGGACTCCCCTTAAGCTTTTCTTGGTGTCTTTCTATCATCTCAGTCTTGGTATTCTTTTCCTTTTTATGTCAAGAAGGTTTCAATTTTTTGCAAAAGAAATTGTGCCGCTGATAAACATTAGTTATGGAAAGGTTTTCTTTCAAACCCAAGGGAAGGAACAAGATAATTTCCCCTGGTTCAGGAAAGTCAGAGTAGAATAAAGCTTCTTGAAATATGAGCTTGATAAAGATAATATTGTCAGTATGAAATAAAAATGAGGACTTGGAGACAGTTTCATTCAAGCTCACTTGATCGTATATAATAAAGCCACGAGAAATCGAGTGGGGGAGGAGGGATTTTTAATACGCTCAAGTGAATCAAGTGGAGCTCTTAGCTTCTGAGTTTAGTTTTCTCTGGCAATTTGAATGTGGGAATTGTCGCTTGAGCAGAGACTGTTTTGTTGATCTCAGGGTCAGAGTGAACAAAGAGCCTCTGCTGGGGCTCCCAGTTGGAAATATTTCTCTGAGTTCAGGTTAATCTTGCTCCCTCTCACTCCACAAACAAAAAACATTTACTCATGTGTATTAGTAGAGTCTGTCCTTAGAACACAGAACATTTACACGGATAAAATCTAGGGGAGCTGGAATACCCTACTTTGCCAGTTTAGGGATGAAAATAAGTTCACATTTTTTGGTAATGTTCAAACCACAGTCACTCTGAGAGCCCCATGATGTCCAAATGGGAAGAAATTCAGTCCGTCTTTAAGGTTTCTTCTATAGTTTCTGGGTATCCCTGATGAGTGCTAACTTGTTCCCCACACTCATCCCGGTAGGATCCTGTCACACCTGACACAGGAAACAGCTCTGTTACTGCCACGCTGTTGATCTCTCTTTCCCTCTATCACAGAATTTTCCAGGTCATACACTCACTTGGGTTTTTTTCACCCCAGCAGTGGGTTCTGTCAGGGCTAACAGCCCCTGAACCCAGCTTCAGTTCCCTGCCCAGCTTTCAGCAGACTTCCACGTTTCCTCTCCCTGCTTCTCTGCATATGCATGGAGAACTCCCCATGCTCCTTCAGTGGGCTCCACGATGGTCCTGCCCTCCAAGCCCACTCACTCTCTGTGGCCCAACATGGCTGACATGGGAACATTGATTTCCTTAAGGAGGAGAAAGTGCCACCTTTATCTACAAGGAGAGTCTGCCCTCGGAGTCAACCAAGATCATATCAGTGATGCTGGCACTTGGATCTACAGGCAACTCACAGTCTGTCTGATGTGGTTTGGCTGTGTCCCCACCCAAATCTCATCTCCAATTGTAGCTCCCACAGTTCCCATGTGTCGTGGGAGGGACCCAGTGGGAGGTAATTGGATCATGGGGGCAGGTCTTTCCCGTGCTGCTGTTCTCGTGATAGAGAGTAAGTCTCACAAAATCTGATGGATTTATAGAGAGGTGTTTCCCTGCACACATCCTCTTCTTGTTCACCGGCATGTAAGAAGTCCCTCTGCTCTTCCTTGGTCTTCTGCCATGATTGTGAGGTCCCCCAGCCATGTGGAAATGGGAGTCATTAAACCTCTTTTTCTTTATAAGTTACCCTCTAACAATGTGAAAATGGACTAATACACTGACCATCCCTAGAGCCTAAAGGAAGAAACTGCCTGATTCATCTTTGTCCCCCCTGCAGGCTTAGACAGTGCCTGTCACACAACACATTTGCCTCTCTCCTCCTCACTTCTGCTGCAGGGCCCACGCAGCTCAGGGTCTCCTCAGCCCTTGCTGGTCCTCTTACCATGGCCCCCAAATCTACCCCCAAAGGAGTCATCCTCTGAGATAAGGCCTCATGACCTCCTGCTGATCCTTCTTAATGGCTCCCATATCTTAGAGTGAAGACACAGCCTCTTGTGTGGCCCCTGTGGTCTTCTCATCCGATTCCTGTCATTCTTTTCAGCTTTACCCTCAGAATGACAACCCTAAACTGCTTGTCTTCCCCAGTACACATCATGTCTTTGGTCATGCAGCCTGAAACACCTACCATGATGCTAACTTTTATTAAGAGATAGGGGAGTTTACCCTATCTCTTGTCCCCTTGGTGTGTGATTTTCCTACCTATGAAAGAAATGGAAGACACTTTCCCTACCCTGGAGGCTCAAAATGTGTACATTTTTATGCAGGTGGAAAGACAATTGAATAAAGAGGAAGAAGGCATGCTGGCTAGTGGGTATGTTCTTTAGGGGAAGAAAGGGTTGACCAGTATGCTGCTTGGAATGCAGCCCCCCGCCTTGAGTCTGTAGTTTATTACTTTGAATCCTGACGTCTGGTCAGAATAATTCATTTCCTCCTCTCTCAATTGTGAGTATTACCTGAACACTGCAAGTTCTTTTCTTTAGAGAGGAAAAGGAGGAGCTGTTGGTTGATTCTTCTTCCATTATTTCGGGTTTCTTCACCAGGTGGGTTTGATGAGAAATCAACTGGTAGGCAGTTAGTTATAATTTTAGACATCTTGGCATTAGGAACAAAGCATTTGGGAGCTAGATGAGACCGTGGCTATTTGCATGGTTTCTGGTTCCTGATGGTCTTATGAGTCTCTATTTTCTAGCAGCGGGAAATTTTGTTACCTTAAGAGATAAGTGCTTTGTCTCCTTATTTCAATTTCTTTTCTGTCCTAATTTCCCAGCCCAGTGCTAGCAGTCTCACGGTTCCAGTTCAGTGGAGAATATTGCTGGATGGCTTGTCCATTACCACACTCTCTTTCCTTCTTATTTTATTTTATATTATTTTATTTTTTTGAGATAGAGTTTCACTCTTGTTGCCCAGGATGGAGTGCAATGGCGTGATCTCGGGTCACTGCAGCCTCCGCCTCCCAGGTTCAAGTGATTCTCCTGCCTCAGCCTTCCCAGTAGCTGGGATTACAGGTACCCGCCACTACACCCAGCTAATTTTTGTATTTTTACTAGAGACAGGGTTTCACCATGTTGGCCAGGCTGGTCTTGAACTCCTGACCTCAGGTGATCCTCCTGCCTCAGCCTCCCAAAGTGCTGGGATTACAGGCGTGAGCCAATGCACCCAGCCTCTTTCCTTCTTAGCTTAAAGTTTTGGGACATGTGCATTTTTTTTTCCTCCTGAATTATCCCCCTCCCCTCCATATTTTTGTTTTGTTTTGTTTTGTTTTATCTTCGTCTCTGGTTAGTTACCAGAATTAGAAATTTGCTCTGTCTTTTCATTCCTTTACCTATGGATAACTTTATGGAGCTTTCATTATGCTATGTGGTGGGTATAAAGAAAAAATAAGACAAAGTTCTGACTCTTGAATCAAACAGTAGTAAAAAAAAAAATTCAAGCAAATGAGATAGGAATATGAATGAAATTCACAAAGTGGGGAGCAACTCTTTATACCTGGGGCATAAGAGAGAGAAAATGGGTCTCTCTCTTATTTAGGAAAGCCTTCCCAGAGGAGGCAACTCCTAGCCTAAGTTTTCTGAATCAGGATCATCCTGACGGAGACACCCCCACCCACATCCCAAGTAAGATTCTAGAAGCATCTGTGCCTATCTAGAAGCATCCATGCCAAGCAGTTATTGGCACTGCCTGGGTGAGTTATTCACACTGTTTCTGACTCTGAAGGTGGCAATATTAAGAAGGAGAAGATCAAACACAGCTGTCATTGAGGTCTTTGTCACACTGGGGTCTCAAGCAAGGAGAGCAAATGGTTCAGCTTCAAGCATGTAGGTCTTCGGGGCCTCATGGCCTGGCCTCTCCCCAGGACTGCTGTGGCCTCTTCTGGATTGGCTCCAGCCCATGCATATGGATGGGTCCCCTCTCCTGTCCTTGGCTCTTGGAATCCACAGATCTTTGTGCTTCTCTGATGCGGAGACCCAATGCCTGTCCATTTGGCTTAAGGGTTGGTCAGGAAACACTTCTGTGGAGCCATTCCATTCCTGCCCCTTTGGCATGTGATTTTCCTACCTAGGAAGACCTATAAAATGCAACCAATGCCTCGTTAATTTTAAATGAATCTCCCCATGTACCCACTCATCTCTGACGGCCACAATTAACTTCTACACGACACTCCTTTCCTTTTGTATGTGGCTGGCTGATTCCTTGCCCATTTGCTCTCTCTTAACTTGCACCCCGGAGTGTTGCAGGCAGTTCAGTAAAACTCCAGGAGGGACTCTCGAGTTTACAGCCCCTCCTTTTTCTGCAGCTCCTTGGACCCCCTCCCCCCATTCTGTGTCTACAACTTCCAGACCGTCTAATAATGCTTTAAACATGTTGAGTAATCAGACTTCCCGAGGCAGTCACTTTGACCTTGCAATTTCCTCCCCTACCTTCTTCCTTTGACTTTCAGACTGGCGTTTTCTGCTCCGTGATATGTGTGGGTTGTGGACAAGGGAATGGGCTTCATCAGCTATACATTTCCCACAGCAAGAAGGAGGAAATTCAAGAATTGGTGTTTTCTTCATGGCTTCAAACCACTGTTTTGCTTGCAACTGGGGCCATGGGATTCCTTTGTCCTGCACAAGTCGCGGGTCTAGCTTCCTTTATATTTATGAAGTGGGGAAAGTCTGAAAATGCCACGAATGGCTGAATACTCCCTGTGACCTAGAGGGTGTGTTTTTTTCAGATCGACTCTGTCTTGTATTCATTTGCACTTTGCTCTTTGAAGGATTCAGGCCTTCTTCTGTGTCCATTCAACCCATGCCTGTGGACTCCTAAGGGAAGATCCCATTGCCCCAATTTATTTTCTGCACCTCCCACAACCTCCCTGGCTTAGCCTGCAGTACAGGCTTTGGGGAAAGAGAAATCACTGCTGACAACTCACAGGTGTGATTTACATCTTGGATTACGAGAGGATCCACCTAGGACCCGATGAGGCGGGAGAAGGCCGTGGTGGACTTATTTCCCCAGATGGGAAGAGACGTAGCGATTGTGGAAATGCAATAAGGTGTCTAGAGAGGAGCGGCCATTTGAGTGCAGAAAGCCCAGCCTCTTGTCGTGGAACCTAAGCGGTGTCCCAGTGCCCTGAGAGGCTTAGCAGTTGCTGCAATGATGATGAAACCTTGCTCCTTCACTCCCTGTGTTCTGGAAAGGAGCAGTGAATGATAGACTTTTTCCCCAGCACCTGGTGGCAGGAAATGAGTTTCATATCTATTCTTATAAGAACATAGTCTATGGTGCATTGCAAGCTCAGATTATCTTTTCAAACTAGCTGAGGAGGTCTGTGCGTCTGTCTGCCTGAGTTCCTTCTGTCCTGCTCTTTCTCCCTTCTTCCTGCTCTTTCTTGCTTTTCCTTTCTCTTCTTTCCTTCCTCTTTGTCTTTATTCCAAACCCGCCTCTGTTTTTCCCCATACTTGGGTTCTTTTCCACTCTCTCTGTCCCAGCCGCTTGATGCTGTCTAGGAATAGGCACGGGAGGACATTCTGGAGTCAATGGCGGCAAAGTGAATGATGGGCTCCCTGAAATTCTCTTTGCTGGCTTTTCAAACACTTTTCTGGCTCTCGTTCTGCATTGCTTTTGGTGGATCAAAGCAATGGTGATCAGGGTTGAAGGATTTAGCAAATAAAAATGTGGGATGCCCAGTTATGCTTGAATTTCAGATGAACAGCAAATAAAATTTCTAGTAAAAGGTTGCCCATGCAATTTTTGGGACATACTTATACTAGAATAATTATTCCTTGCTCACTAGAAATTCAAAGGTCACTGGGCATCCTGTCCTGCGCCTGACAGCCCTCTCCATGATCCAAGGCTCTGGTTGGGGTGCTGATGGGCTGAGAGTTGCTGTCACCCTCCTTTTCTCCTGTTTAATCAGATCTTCTTGACACGGGACCATCTATTTCTTTTCCATAGTTTATTTTCTTCTCATTCTAAGCCTCAGCACAGCCAACATAGCCAACCACTCCTTAGCTCTGTTTACTGCGGAGTCACGTGTCTGAGTTTAGGGCAATTAACTCTGGTATTGCAGCATAGGAGGGGGCCCACACCCACCTCCCTGGCACTGAACACCAACTTAGTGGTGATCTGGCGCCAGGCACCTCATGTCATATCCACAGCAGGTCCTCAATATAATTATTTCAACCCTATGGAACAGATAAGGCTCAGGGTTTAAGTTTCTTGCTCAAAGACAGACTGTGTTTGAATCCTAAGTTTCATTTTGTTCTAAATCCCATCCTTTTCCTCCTCTCTGGGTATACCCATTCATGCCTCCTAAAGACAACTCAGGGCAGAAAATTGTAATCCATACCCATTTCTCCCTTAATATAGGACCGTTTCCCAATAGTCACAAAATGGACTAATTCCCAATGCTCTGGAAGGAATTTGCAAAGGCGGAGTCTATCTGGAGATCATGTCTGTCTTAGAAGGAAATGGAATGCTGTGCTTCTGCACTGGGGGCACCTGCTTTGATTGGAAATATTAAGATACATATGTAAGAAGCTCTTAAGGTTTGGGGGGAAGCTCACTGGGTTCTTGACCCAGTACCTTCTGGAAATATGCTGCCTTGGGCGGGGATTCTAGGAAAGAAGGCTTCCTGCTGGAAGGCAGTTTCTTTCTAGGCGGTTCCTCTGAAGCTCCGGTCCCTGGGCTTGGTTCTCCTTTCTTTGGACTCCTTTACTTTCTCCTGCCTTTTTCATTTTCTAAAGTCTCCTGCCATGTCTCTATTGAGCCTCTCTTCCTGGTCATGTTAGGAAAGCATACTCTTAGACGCCTGCTTATCTTACAGTGCTGTTTTAGGTTTAACGCTTGATAGTTCTCTCAGATACAAGAATTTAATACCACTTTAAATTGTCTATCTCTGGCAAGGTTAGGTCTATGTTGTTCTATTTATTTATTTATTTATTTTGAGACAGAGTCTTGCTCTGTTGCCCAGGCTGGAGTGCAATGGCACAATCTTGGCTCACTGCAACCTCCACCTTCTGGGTTCAAGCGATTCTCCCACCTCAGCCTCCCGAGTCTCTGGGATTACAGGCATGCACTTCCACACCTGGCTAGTTTTTGTATTTTTAGTAGAGGCAGGATTTCATCATGTTGGCCAGGCTGGTCTCAAACTCCTGACCTCAGGTGATCTGCCCACCACGGCCTCCCAAAATGCTGGGATTACAGGCGTGAGCCACCGAGCTGGGCTGGTCCATGTGGTTCTATAACTTAAAATTGTATTAGCATTTTCCTCATTTGTGCCACTGCTGTCTTCCCATAAACTATAAACCAACTAGCAGATTTCAATAGATAGGAAACTACTTAAGAGAAAAAAAAAGAAAGAAAGAAAAAAAAAAGGGGTCAGTCTTTGTCCTGATCATGGTGCAAGTTTGTTTTCCTAATGGGGAATTTTCCAAGAGCTCTTAGTGCTGGGACTTTATGGGATAAATGCGGTGGAAAGGGGCACACTTCCCGTGCAGAATGTCCTTTTTACTCTCTTCTGCTCCTCTGAGCTTTGCTTCTGAATACACAAAACCTGTATTTGTGACTGCCAAGAGGCCTTCCACTGTGAGGAAGAATGCATTGTAAATCACTCTTTCACAGCCAGTTAACAGGGAGTGTCTTTCTCACCCATAATTATGGTTTTGCTTGGAGTTGAGAAAGTTGTTTTGGGGGCAATAAATTGTGATGTCAGTTATCCTTCACTCCCTTTGCATGTGAGTCCTCAGTCGGAAATTGGTATTCTTAACAGTTGAATCTCTGGGGTCTCCAAGGCTTTGCAGCTGAAAATTTTGGAGTCCTCTGCTTTGGAAAGAGGAGAGAGAGAGGAAGGAGAGGGAAAGAAAGCAAGGGAGAGAGATTCATAGAAGGCCCTTTTGTTTTCAACTTTGGTGACAGGAAATTTGAAAGTGGGGGAAGGGAACTTGGCTCTTACTAAAAATATTTTATGTTGGAGAATGTTAATGAGGCTTTACACGAATAAAAAAAAAAATTCCAAACCTAGTGCATCAGGGTCATGACCGGGACTTTTTTCGTGTGCAAAGGCCTTTGTACACACACACCTCTTCTAAAAAGCAGCCGCGCACACACACTTGTATTACTGCTGCATCACATTGCGAAAGCTCCCCAGCAAGAAAAATTCCAGGCAGAATAAGAGAATCAGAGCTCTTCCATTCGTGGAAATTGTTAGTGGAAAACTTCATTTCCAATATCAAATTTAATATTACTGAGTGGCAGGTTATGATAAGGCCACTTTAACACTTAAAAACGAGCTGTTTCTTAAGTCTCCTCTGTGATGGTTTTATGAATTGTTATTCTGCTCTCTTTAGGTAATCAGATACGAGGAATTGTTTGGCAGCCTAGCCAGAGAGAAAAGCCTTTGCCCAGATTTTAGGCAATCCCTGGTAATTGGTGCAGCCTGCTGTGGCTGGGCCAAGCGCTTGTCCGCATCCCTCAGTATGGCTTTGGGTCTTGTATTTCCCGTGCAGAGGAGAGGTCATTCAAGTCACAGGGGCATGGCACTACTTCAGCAATCTGCTGAATGACACAGGGATTTGGCTTATTTCTATCTTATGTGTGGAGAGGGCAGAGTAGAATTGGGACAGTTTGACCCATGGAATTTCCAACTTAGGCGGCTTAGGGGTTTTAAACATGAGGCAGTAGGGCAGTGTGGGGAAGAGGATGAGCTCTTGGATCAAACCAATCCTGATTTGAGATGTGGCTCTGCATTTATTGGCTGTATCCTCTTGGGCAAGTTACTCTGCCTTTCACTTACAAATTTGTAAAACGGGCATAAAGATGCTAACACAATAGAGCTCTCTCTCTCTCCTACCTCCATATCCCAAACACCGCAAATCTGGGCAGCCCTGCCTTCCAGAGATTTCAGGAAGTTTGCAGCTTCTCCCTACTTCCTGGGCTACCACGTTGGTCCAAGTCACCCTTGTATTTCACTTTGATTATTGCATTAGTCTCTGAAGAGGTCTCCCTTCCCCGCTATACAGTAGCCGGAGTGATTTTATTTTTATTTATTTATTTATTTTTGAGACAGTCTCTCACTCTGTCACCCAAGCTGGAGTGCAGTGGCTCGATCTCGGCTCACCGTGGCCTCAACCTCCTGGGCTCAAGCAATCCTCCCGCCTCAGCCTCCCCAGTAGCTGGGACCACAGGCATGCGCCACCAAGCCCGGCTAATTTTTTTTTGTATTTTTTATAGAGATGGGGTCTCACCATGTTGCCCAGGCTGGTCTCAAACTCCTGAGCTCAAGCAATCAACAGTCTTGGCCTCCCAAAGTGCTGGAAGTACAGGCATGAGCCACCGCCACTGGCCCAGAGTAATTTTTTAAAAAGGTGAGATGGAAAGTCTCCCGTGCCTTCCCAGCTCATTCTGAATAAAGCCAGAGTCCTTACCGTGGCATAGGGGGCCCTCCTTAATCCGGCTCCTTGGTACCTGTCTGGCCTCACCACTAAACATTCTTGATCCAGCCATTTGGACCTCTTTGCTGCTCCTAGAACACAGTAAGAGTGTTCCTGGCTCAGGAAATGGTACTTGCCTGGAGTGTTCTTCCCATATATCCATCCCCAAGGCTGACACCCTCACTCCCTGCTCAAATGTCACCTGATTTGGAAGGCTCTTATTCTCCTGTATGTCTTCTGTCGTTTGAATTTCTCACCTTCCTACACACTATGCATTTCCTGCCTGTCTCCAACATGGAATGCAAGCGCCACGAGAGCAGGGTCTCTGTCAATGTTGTTTATTTATGTATCTTCAGTACCTGGAACGGTGCCCGGCTGATTAATATTTGATAAATGAATGAATCGGATGTGCTTCATTTAGTTGTTTAAAAAATTAAATGAAACCATACTTCTGAAACGCTTGGCACAGTGCCTTACACATGTTAAGAATGCAATAAATGTGAGCTATTATTATTTTTACTACAGAGTTTAGTAATAAGAAATTCACTTAGGAGTGGAAAATGGGAATTTAACTATAGTGAATTGGCAGAGCCAATTAATGGTGAGGAAATCCATCCAGGCTCCTCTGTTCGGGCTTGGGTTATCTTCATGGCTCTTCCCTGCAAGTTATTTCTTCTTTGCTCTTTTAAAGTTAATATACAAGATAGAAACTAATAATAAAAACAAGCTCAAAGGAGAGCCTAAAGCAGTTAGCTCAAAGAGGATGGGTACCCAGGGCTAAGTAAGCATCTTCAAGCAGAAGCTGAAAATACAGGTAGGCATCTTCCCTGATTGTGGTCGAGGCTTGGGTGTCTCCTGGAGGGAGGCATTGACATGGTGGATCCTGTGTCCTGTGTCTGAGAACCATGGGGGGTAACACTCTCTTTTGTATCAGTGTAACAAGCTGTGTAACAAGCCATCCCCAAGCTTAGGGACTTAAAACAACAATGCTTTGTTACTTCTCATACTTCTGTGATCAGGTAGGAGGCTCTGCTTCTCCTGCTGTGAGCTGGAGCCACTTGTTTGTCGATCTGAGAGTTGGCTGGGGGAGGGTCTGTCATGGTCTGGGGTCGAGTGTTGGCTGTCAGTGGGATACCTTGGTTCTCCTCCGTGTGACCTGTCTCCAGGCATTCTGTCATCATTTGGTAAGTAATCTAGCCTAAGCTTTTTACTTGGTGGCTGGTTTCTCAGAGAGAAAAGAGAACTAGCAAGGCCTCTTACCTAGACCTGTAAGTCACACGATGAGACTCTACTGTGTTCTACTGGTCAAAGCGAGATGCAAGTGGAGGGGAACGAGTCTGTCTCTCGCATGGCATGCTCGCTCACATGTGCACGACGTTGAGAGGATGATTGGTGGTCATCTTTGCAGGTGATCTTCCACACTCTTGAACTTGTACCAAATGATGGCTCTTGTCTTGAGCTCTCCATGAGTCTTTACTGCCTATGAGAGAGCTGGACCTCATGGCCCTCAGGTTGCAAGGCTAACAGCCTCAGTATCCAGATGTACAAAAGACCCTGACATGTGTGAGGGGCACAATTCTCTCTGCCTAAAAAAGGAAATTGTTAATTATTTGATTAGAAATTAGTCACTTGGGAGGTGTATGTTCTGTGGTCTTTTTTTTTTTTTAATTTTGAGACAGTGTCTCACTCTATTGCCCAGGCCAGTGTGCAATGGTGCGATCATGGCTCACTGCAGCCTTGAACTCCCAGGCTCAAGTGATCCTTCCACCTCAGCCTCCCAAAGTGCTGGGATTACAGGTATGAGCCACAATGCTCTGCTTCAATATTCTTTTTATTTTAGATGTCCTAAGCATTTATTGAACCCCCACCACACATCAGACCCTGGCTAGGCTTTTGAAAACATATTCCTATCACTTAATTCTCACAGTAACCCCAACAGGGTTTTTTGTTTGTTTGTTTTGTTTTGTTTTAGATAGAGTCTTACTCTGTCACCCAGGCTGGGGTGCAGTGATGTGATCTTGGCTCACTGCAACCTCTGCCTCCTGGGTTCAAATGAGTCTCCTGCCTCAGCCTCTCGAGTAGCTGGGATTACAGGCACACACCACCACACCTGGCTAATTTTTGTATTTTTAGTAGAGACAGGGTTTCACTATGTTGGTCAGGCTGCTTTCAAACTCCTGACCTCAAGTGATCTGCCCGCCTCAGCCTTCCAAAGTGCTGGGATTAGAGGCGTGAGTCACTGTGCCCAGCTCCCAGTGGGGTTTTGATGATTAAAATGGAAATTACCCCACGTTTTGAACACAAGATGTCATTTACTCAGGGTCACATGGCTGACAAAGGGCAGAGATGAGTGTCAACTTGGGCTTCTCTTACTCCACGTTGCCTGCAGGTTCCATGGCACTGCTCAGCCTCCTGTTCATCTGAATGGAGAAACTCACAAAAGAAGAATAGAGATGGGGAATGACAAAAGTACAATTTTAACCTGTTCTGTTAAAAAGAGCCGTGGATTCATTTCATTTACAAAGACGGGAATTGGCACATACATGGTCTTTTGGAGCAGAGCAGCATACACAGATATTGGCAGGATTTTGGTTTGAAGTTTCTAGAAGTTATGAACTGAATGATAAGTTTTGACTCTTGGATAGGTGTGACAGGTAAGAGTAGGCTTAGCTATGCATAATGGAAAGCTCTAGATAACCCCGGGTGTGGTGGCTCATGCCTGTAATCTCAGTCCTCTGGGAGGCCGAGGTGGGCAGATCACTTGAGGTCAGGAGTTCCAGACCAGCCTGGCCAACATGGCAAAACCCCATCTCTACTAAAATTATGAAAATTAGCCGGGTGTGGTGGCGGGCACCTGTAATCCCAGCTACTCAGGAGGCTGAGGCTGGAGAACTGCTTGAACCCAGGAGGCCGAGGTTGCAGTTAGCCGAGATCACGCCATTGCACTCTAGCCTGGGCGATAAGAGCAAAACTCCATCTCAAAAAAAAAAAAAAAAAAAAAAAAGGCAAAGCCCGCCTAATGTCATCTCAGATAAACCACAGCGTAAGTCGTTTGCTTCAGGCCAAGTGTGAAACACTGCTACGAGCTGTGACACTTTACCCCAATCCCTGCCAACAAGTAGCAGGAAACAAATGGGTCTATTTAGTATGAAATTCGTACACCTAAATCGATGAGATAAAAACCATAATGTATGACAATAGACACTATAATTACCAATGTTTGCAAAGTAAGCAATAATTGAACAGAATTGTATCACATTGTGCTTGTTGCTGTGATGGTCAAGACAAAAGGATGCATAGATTAAGTAGATATGTACTAAATGAGTTTGTGTATGTTTGGCTGAACGAGTTTTTATACGTTTGGCTTCCATATGTATACCATAAACTGATGGGATATGCAAGAGTATGAGACACCTTCTCTGTTTTCTGTGCATTAATAATTCAAGTGGGGAAAAGATGAGAGTTTAGCTAGACTTTGGAACGGGAGTAGGATTTGAGTAGAGAGGAGGGAAGTAGAAGGGACGTGGCCCAGGTAGAGCCTTGGAGTTGACAAAAACATTCACATCTGTGGTCCAGGCTGGAGACAAGCAGCCTGGCTGGAGTAGAAGGGAAAAGTGGGAGGTAGAGCTGGCTGGCAGGGTCATGTGCAATGATAATGGCCTTAAAGGCCGGGATAATGAACTTTGTTCTATCAGCAGTGAGGATCAATGGGATATCTCAGAGCAGGAGAATGAAGAGAAAAATACAAAGCTGAGGATTAATATGAGCCTTGGAGATGGATCATTCTGCTCCTGCTTTTAGAAGAGGAGCAGTAAAGGAGGCAGAAGGGAAATACCCAGGTAGGAATAAACCCATGAGGGCAATGCCATAGAAATAAAATTGGTGACATTCGAGGGGTGGAGGTGCTGATGGGTGTTACCAAATTGTGAAATGAAAAGTGAGAAAAGATTATTACTGGATGGGGCCAAAGATTACTGCTGACAATTGAGAGCTTGCAGCTCCAGGAATGCGAGGAGGTGTGGGCCGGATTGCCTGAGGGTAAGGAAGGCAAGAGTGTGAGGAAAGGGATGGGTAGAGATGACTTGAGCCAAAGGTTGTCTGAGAAGGAAGGAGGGAAGCAGCTCAGAGGGCCTTCCCCCCATGCCCATGCCTGAAATGAAGAGAACAGAAGGGCCACGGCTCTAGCAAGGGCTGGGATACAGATGCAGAGAAGGAATGGTCATGGAAGGGAAGTCCCTTGGGATCTAATGCCTAAGAGGAGGGCTGGCTGTCCTGAGAGATGAGAAAGTCTTCTGTGCTTCTGGGGAGGAACCATGACAAGATGGGCATGGTCAGCAGAGGGAGAAGCTCAGACTGGAGCTGGAGGCAAGTGTCAGGTTTGGAGAAAGCACTGGAGCTCCCAGGGCAGGGTGCTGGGGGTGGGCAGGGGTCAAGCGACCAGAGTACAGCAGAGAGCTTTCTGCTGAACACGTGTCTTGGATTGGGAGCAGAGCTGTGTGCCTGACTGTTTCTTCACCAGGGCCCTTTCACCTCGGTAGGAGTGGAGAGATAAGTGTGAACTTGGCCTAGATTGGTGACTGGCACATCAGACTTGGCAAGGCCCCAAGGAGACAAAGGAATCCCTGGGCAATGTGCCTCTGGGAGGGCAAGGGCCGAGTGGGAGGTTCCCGTCCCATTTCTTTGTAGAAAGGGTCCCAGAATGCATATTTAGTCATCATATTGTAAACGTTTCCAGGTGACCGTTTTATTTCACAACAGCAGATGGTGAAAATAGGGTTGGTTCTCTTTGGCCGCTTTGATTATATGGCACATGTTAAGTACGGTTGTGCGTTGCTTAACAACAGGGATGCATTCAGAGAATTGTGTTGTTTGGTGATCTTGTCAATGTGCAAACATCATAGAGTCTACTTACATAGACCTAGACAGTATAGCCCACTATACCGAGGTAGATGATATAACCTACTATACCTAGGCTAGATGGTATAGACTATTGCTTCTAGGCTACAGACAATAGAAGGTGGAATTGCCAGGTAAGTACACCTGTAGACACCTGTGCTCACCTCCTGCCCCTTTCCTCCTGCATTGTGAGAACATCACAGAGTGAACTTACACAAACCTAGATGGCATAGCCTACTATACCCAGGCTAGATGGTACCTATCACTCTAGGCTACAAACCTTACAGCAGGTTACTATACTGAATGCTGTAGGCATCTGGAACACAGTGGCAAGTACTTGTTTATCTAAATATAGAAAAGGTGAAAATATGATATTAGAATCCTATGGGACCACTTTCATTTATGCAGTCCCTCATTGACTGAAAGGCCCCTGTGCAGCGTGACTGGTACTAAAGCGACTACGTGGGGATGGGGGGTGGCCATAAATAGCTTGCTGCAGCCCCGCGGCTGATGGTCGCGGTGCACCTCATGGTCTGCTCGTTTGGACTGCAGCATCTCTTCTTGTTCTTTCTTCCATCCCATTTGAGACCTTGACCCACAGGACCTCCTGGGCGTTTTTATATCATCAAAGTGGCTTTGGCTCCAGGCAAAAGCAAGCCCCTAGATGCAGGAGGTGCCTTTTAAAGGCCATGTGACTATCAGTGCTTGTACGTCCTGGGCAACTGCGAGGGGGTACGCGGGCAGTCTCATGGCAGCCAAGTGAAATCCTCCAGACGCTCTGGCTTCCGGCTGACTTTGAGATAAAATAAATAATAGAGACGGAGGGGAGAAAACTGCAGAGGGTGGAACCTCCAGGTAAGTATACCTGGAGACACCTGTGCTCACCTCCTGCCCCTTTCCTCCCACTCCATCTGTCCTCTTACCAGGAGAGGCATAAACAGAACACATTTGTTTCTCAAACCTTATGACATAGTTACTTTGTCACACCGGGCACATTTGCTGAGGGCAGGTGGGTCAGAGTTCACGGTTGCCTGATGGAGGCCCTCTGTTCTGTTCTGGATGTGAAGCGTCTGTGCCAAGACTGAGCAAAAGTCCTCCTGACTTCCCTGCCTGAGAGCAGTCTGACCTCATCTCCCCTTCCCTGGGTTGACCTCTTAAGAGCAGGAGCTTCACTTGTTTGTGTTTTCACAGGATACACTGATTACTAAATGAGGCGGAGAGTGCCGAGTGAGGAGACCATTAATCTCCAAAGCAAGCCTCAAACTGCAGCCAGGAGCTCTTGGGAGCAAAGGGTACCTGTGCTTCACTGGAGACTTGATTCCTGAGATCTGGGGTTACCCGAAAGCTGAGTGTCATCTTCCTTCAGAGCACAGAACTCTCTGGCTTATACGTGGCATTCAGTCCACATTGTCTCCAGGAATCCAGCCTTGGTTTATTCTGTGCAGCTAGAAGGTGGGGTGTTAGAAACACAAGCTGTTAGGTTTGGAAAAATACGATCTTTCTTTCTTAACCCCTGTGTGAGATCCTCTTGAGAATTCCAGGTGGGTCCCACAAGGGATGACCTTGAATACTCATAAAATACTGCTTTTATGAGATTTCCCTGGAACCCACAGGTTGAGATGAACAGTGCCATGAACGATAAGATGGAAGGTTAGGAGTTAGTGTTACCCAAGGCTCGGCCTCCATCTGCTGGGTGACCTTGAACAAATCCCCTTACTCACTGGCTCTGGAGTTGGAATGTGGGCTGATAGCGCAGTCTGGCTGGTGGAGAGCACAGAGGTGTGGTGAGGCTGGTGGAGGTCCCTTCTGTAAAGGGCTGTGAACTCCTTGCACAGAAAAGCAATAAGCAATGCTCAATTATCAGTGAACATTGAACATCATAAACAATGTTCAATTATCAATGTTCAATTATGGCGTAATTGTTCCTTTAGGTTCTGCCAGAGCCCAAAGACCTCTTATGAGTTCCCGTCTCAGAGTATAAAGCATTGCACAAGAATTCCAGCTCCCCCCACCCCCAGGCTCTCTGTGAGTCGCTCCCAGTATCGCACAAGCTCTGGTTTTTGTGTCGGTGGATGTTTAATTGGATTTATCTTGGTCTGGGTTAGGCCGGATGAAGTCAACTAGCCAACAAATCCTCGATTGTTTCTGAGGAGAAGAGGAGGTTCACAGGCGGTTCTCTAACCACTTAATTACCCTCAGTTGCAGGAAAACGAAGCCTGGATTTGAATAGGGTATTTGCATATCTACACAGCTTTCCTTCTGTCCACTTTCCCCCAAACCCTCAGAAGGCTCCTGCTGCACAGCCTGTCAGATGTTAGAAGCCTTTTTTAAATGTCCTTGGCTAGAAAACAATGGTTATTAAGAAGCCGTAACTTTTTCTATTTTTATTTCGGTTTGGTTCTGTGTTTAATGAGTTAGGTCTGTCTTGCTACTCATTTTTTAAAATCTCTCTCTTATATCTCTTATATGCACACTCCTTATTTTTTTTCAGGTTCTCTTGCTTCAGATATCAAAAGCTAGCTGTTGATTGTACTCAATCTTGATCCAGAACAATACTAGGCTAAATAACTTTTGTTGCCCTTTGTCCATCTCTCATCTATACAAGAAAGGCTATGTCTGGAGCAGGTTTCCCCATTCCGTCTTCCCCACCAACTAGAAGAATTCTTTTTATGGTCCTTTCTACAGTCAGCACTGCATGAAGAGTGGAGATCTCAGACTGGTGCCATTACCTGTCCTATTCTAAACAATGAGAGTTATTTTTCAGAGAAAAAGAATCCTGTGGCATTGTCTCTTCTTTCCCGCAATTCTGACTCCAAGGCTGTGCAGATCTTTGCCATCTCCCTGCGTTGCTAAAACCAGTGTTGGTAACTCCCCGGCCTGATCTATTGCCCTCTGTGCACGAGGCAGGAACTACTTCCAACAGTGATTTAGCCTCGTTCCTGACGTTACTTTTTGGGTCACAAGAAGATGGCATGTTCTATTTCTATGTCCCCTAGATATTTCTTCTCCTTCAAGCTACTCCAAGCCTTTTCATTTATTTGGCCACAAAAACGCTTCGAAAGAGGAGCCTGTAATCATGGCCTCCTTTTCCCCTCCTCCCTTTCTCTCATCATTTCGCTCTGGTTTTTGCCTCTGCCACTTGCCTGCAACTGCTTTGGCAAAACTCAGTGAGGACCTCATTACCAATTTGGTTACTTGGTGAGGGGCCCCTAACCTGGGGGCTCGGAATTTGGATGGGGAAAATACTTTATTTTCACTAACCTCTGACTGAAATTTACTATTTCCTTCAATTATGAATGTAGGCAACAAACCATGGTAGTGTCAATAATATCTACAGATATTTCCATATCACATTACAGTTGTATTGCAGGTATCTTAAAGCCCTGTTTTCCTTCATCACTACTGAGAAATTACATTGTTTTGTGGACCTCCTGATTGATCTTGTTACCTAAGGCATTAATAATGCAACTCATATATGACTATAGTATGATCTTTTAATATTTCAGTAACTGTAAGTAGTTTTATTTATTACTGTATGTATTGTCTTTTATATATTTAATAATATTCTTTTGAGAAGGGGTCCATAGGCTTCACTAGACTACTAAAGAGGTCTATGGTACAAAAAAAGGGCAAAGAAACTCAGTTTTTTTATCACTGGTACCTGATTTCTCTAGAGTGTTTCTCTTATAATGAGAAGAGCCTCCTACTAAAAATTATTTTCTTCTTTGCTCAAATGATACCACTCCTTTGCTCCTCTGTTTTTCATTACTGTTTCCCAGATCTTTTACTAGTTCTTTCTCAGTTCATTTCTCACATTTAAGATTCTCTCAGGATTCTATTCCTTTCCCCGGTTCCTTCCCTTTCCCTCCCTCCCTCCAGCCCTCCCTCCCTCCCTCCCTCTCTTCCTTCTTTCTCTTCTTCCTTCCTTCCTTCTCTCCTTCTTCCTTCCTTCCTTCCTTCCTTCCTTCCTTCCTTCCCTCCCTCCCTCTCTCCCTCCCTCCCTTCCTTCCTTCCTTTCTCTCCCTCTTTCACAAATATTCATTGAGTTCCTACTCTTATGTCACTGACATTCCTGTGGGGACAACAGACAAATAAATAGGCTATTACAATGTAGTCTGATGATACTTAGGGGACACTTAGGAGAAATACGTAACCCAGCCTTGGGAGTTGGGAAAGACTTCTCACTGGAGGTCACCTCAAGTTAAGTCCTGGAGAACCACGTGAAGTTGGCTAGGCTTGGTGGTGGGAACAGAGGGTGGCTACAAAGGACTGGATGGGTGGTTAAATGAGGCTGGAGAGGGAAGAGGTAGCCAGACTGTGGAGCTTTCTAAAGCATGCTGAAAGCAGCTACCAAAGGGTTTTAGGAGAACTGAGTTGAGAAACATTGCTGTGGCTTAAAGTACAGAATGGATTGGAGGGGAAGCCTGGAACTGAGAGACAAGCTAAGACCCTGAGAAACCCTACCCTTTGCTCATTCTGGAATGCATCACATGTGTCCACCCTGTGCTCGTGCTTTCCTCTGCCGGATAAGCTCTTCCACTGTACCTGATGCTCCTGAATAGCTGTGATTAACCTTCAGGATTCTCTCTTTAGAGTTCCCTGACTCTTTGGCTACATTTTTGGGCAACACTTAGAGTTATCTTTTACGCATCTGTTTCTTACCTCTTCTTTGAGTTACTTGAGGACAAGGACTGGGGCTTGCTTGTCTTCATATCTCTAGCACCTAGAATATTGCTGGACCCATAGTGGGTTCTCTGAATTGAGCCAGATGCAGGTAGGGAAAGTGCAACAAGATTAGAAAATTCGACAACAGTCACATAGCAAAGAGAGCCTGAGAAATCCCTCAGAGATGTCCACAGAATCATTACATCTCAGGATAAGAAAGTCATCTAGTTGTCTTTTTTTTTTTAATATAAACACTTTGTTTTGATATAAGAGAAATATTTATACCTCCTCTACCAACATCAGCCCATCATTGGGTGTTGCCAGAATTCAAAGACATTTTAACAGGACTGGAGTTTTTGCTTTTAGAAAAATGGATCCTATGGCCTTCTTTTGTTTTTAGTGGAGAAGAGAGATTTCCCCCCAGGATGATACAGAAGAGGCTAACTAAAAAAAAAAAAAAGAAAAGAAAAGAAAAAAGAAAATGGGCTAAATCTCAGCCAAGGAAAATGATAGGTTGAAAGCCAGAACCTCCGGGAAACTGACCCAGTGGTGGAGTGTGTTTGTCTGTGGCCCACTCTTTGAGATGGGGGTCGGAGGCGATGGCAGCCCTATTGTAGAGATTTCCCCATGAAGCTGGACAAAGCCCTTGAGCTGCTTTGATCATCGGCAGAGGAATGGACGGGGTGGCCCCTTGCGCAGCTTCCAGCCTGGATCTCCGGTTCTAGGTGACACAGAGGAAAAAGCAAGGCACAGACTGTATATTTTATTCCTGTGGGCACTTGCTGTGCTTCCCAGCTTTTCTCCATGATCAAAATGGAAAAAATGTTAATGGTTTTCTATGCAGGGAGCAGCCAGACACCAGAGCACCCTGGGAGTTGAAAGGAACATCATAAAGATCACAGGTCACTCCTTAAACTTCCTGTGACTGCACGTATGGGGAGAAAGGGCTGCTGGTTGGCTGGGAGGGATGATCATATATAATGGACTCTTATTGCCTAGTGGGGAGACCTTTGATCAAATATCAAAACCATGCTTCTTCCCATTTTTTCGAAAAGCAGAAATAAATTGCCCGGTGTGGTGGCTCATGCCTGTAATCCCACACTTTGGGAGGCCGAGGCAGGTGGATTGCTTGAGCCCAGGAGTTCGAGACCAGCCTGGGCCACATAATGGGACCCCATCTCTACAAAAAATACAAAAAAAATTAGCTGGGTGCACGCCTGTGGTCCCAGCTACTCGGGAGGCTGAGTGTGGAGGATTGCTTGAGCCCAGGCTGCAGTGAGCTATGATCTTGCCACTGTACTCCAGCCTGGGTAACAAAGTGAGACCCTGGCTCTTAATAAATAAAGAAATAAATAAATAAAGTAAAATAAAAACTTCCTCTGAAGATACTAAAAATAAACAAAGATACTCCTGATGGTGAGTTAGGGAAGCCCTGTTTACATTTGACAAGTACTTCCGTAAGGTTTTTACATAATCTTACCTTAGCCAGATTTTGGCAGGGAAACGTTGCTTAGTTCTTGTCTGGACTAACTGGTATTGGAAGTTTTGTAAAGCAAGTTGTTGAACTCCGTAGATTAGAAAAATAGAGAGTTACAGTTTTTGAGGGAGCAAGAAAGAAAGGGATAAAAGTCATACTTTAAGGAATTTAGGCCTCAGATTGGACACTGTTCAATGTTCTATGTTGGTTTTCAGGCACTTTTCTGGCTTTTTATCACTGCAACTGTTGAAAAGTCGACATCGCAAAGGTATGATGTCATTGAAAGGAATGAAGCACTAGCTAGTGATGAAGCTGTGGGCTAGTAGTACTATGCGAATGGTTGGATAGATCTGAGCTAGAAGTAGATCGAACTGGTAGTTCATGCACAGTCTGATAATGTTGAGTGTTGTGTGTTTTCTTCAAATTTAAAATATCCTCCTGGACATGGTGGCTCATGCCTGGCCCTTTGAGAGGTCAAGATGGGAGGACTGCTAGATGCCTAAAGTTCAAGACCAGCCTGGGCAATGTAGTGCGACCCCGTCTCTATAAAAAATAAAAAAGTTAGCTGGGCATAGTAGTGCATGCCTGTAGTCCCAGCTACTCAGGAGGCTGAAGTGGGAGGATTGCTTGAGCCTAGAAGGTAGAGGCTACACTGAGCCGTGATCAGGCCACTGCACTCCAGCCTGGGTAACAGAACGAGATCCTGTCTCTAAAAGAAAAAAAAAATTAAAAACCCTGTAGTACCAGTTTCAGTTTGTTGTGGCTCCTTGGGGCATCTGTCTCTGCACAGTTAGGAATTTAGCATTACAATGAAACAGGCAGGCTGGGAATATTGTAGAAAACTAGAAAAGAAGAAAATAAATGCAGACCAAAGGAATCAACGAAAACAAAATCTTCAAAACTTGTCTATGTTTGCCAAGTTCGTAAGACAGAAGCTCTTGAAGGCAGTAAACTGTAGAAACATAATCTATGAGGGCTAGAGGAAGTGGACAGAAGGTTTAAAGCTGTGATTAGACACTAGCCACATGTGCCTATTTCAATTTAAATTAATTGAAATGAAATAACATGAAAAATTCAGTTCTTCAGTCACACTAACTACATTTCAACTGTGCAGTGGTCACGGTGCAGACAGAAGCATTTCCATCGTTACGGAAGGGGCTGCTGGACGGCGCTGGTCTGCACTGCAGCTGGGTCAGCAGCTACATCCCAGGAGCCAAAGCCAGCTGGCTGCCTCTTTTTGTGTGGCCCATGAGGGAACAATGGTTTTTTTTAATTACATTTTTGGGTTTTTGTTTTTGTTTTAGACCAAGTCTCACTCACTCTGTTGCCCAGGCTGGAGTGCAGTGGCACAATCTCGGCTCACTGCAACCTCCGCTTCCCAGCTTCCAGTGATTCTCCTGCTTCAGCCTCCTGAGTAGCTGGGACTATAGCATCTGCCACCACACTCAGCTAATTTTAGTATTTTTAGTAGAGATAGTGGTTTTGGTATGTTGGTCAGGCTGGTCTTGAACTCCTGGCCTTGAGGGATCTACCTACCTTGGCCTCCTAATGTGCTGGGATTACAGGTGTGAGTCACTGTGCCCAGCCAGTTTTTATTATATTTTTAAATAGTTGAAAAATCTTGTGGAAATGTATTTTCTTTCCTGTTGTATAAGTACCTACAAATACCCTTGTTTTTGCCTCTTGGTCCACAAAGCCTAAAATACAATAGGACCTTTCCAGATAACGTTTGCCAGTTCCTTCCTGGTCTAAAGCATCTTCAAACTACAGTGGAGGAAACAGGCCTAGAGACAGACAGTAACCTGCGGTGGATCGCGCAGCCTGGGAAAGGACAGTCTCAAACCAGGCTTTTGTGGAACCTGCTCCTTTCCTGCGCCCTGGGCTCTTTCCTTCTGAAGGCCTCTGTTTCCATTCACCCAGCAGATAAAACAATGGGTTCCTTTAGCTGCATCATGAACTTGAGAAGGGAGTTCAACTACTGGAGGAGACCTTGATCATCCTTCCTTTATGAGTCTGTCGCAGGGAGGACAGGGAGGATCAGATGACCACAGCCACGTGTTCACAAAGGGCCTCAGATGTAGACGCTGGGATTCTCTTCACATGGGATTATAGACAGGAAAACAAGCAGATGGAGTAAAAGACAGCTGTCATCATGCAAAACTCGTGTTCCTCCGTCAGACCACACTGCCTGTAATGATCTATGAATTAATATTTTAAAAATCTTTTAATTATCTTGTGATTAGTACCCAGTACGTTGCACTATATTCAAGTTGTGAGTTAAAAGCATTAATGTGTCAAATGTAAGCACTTAAAACATACTGCATTTTAAATAAGCCTGTTGGACATTTCTTCTTTTTAATTTTTGTTTTTAAAAATATACTAACATCCATGGTGAGACCCTATCTCTACAAAAAATACAAACAATACCTGGGTGTGGTGGCACACACCTGTAGTCCCAGCTACCCAGGAGGCTGAGGTGGGAGGATCATTTGAGCCTGGGGAGGTCGAGGCTGCAGTGAACTGTGATCGCGTCATTGCACTCCAGCCTGGGCAGCAGAGCAAGACCCTGTCTCAAAAACAAACAAACAAAAAACAAACTGTATATGTATATATTTTTGATATATATAGCATATATAGCATATATCATGTATATGCTATATGTCATATGTATCATATCTATATGTATCATATATAATATATATCTATATATATCATATACAGCTCATATAGATACATATACTAACATCTCCCAAAATGAAAGTGGCTTGAGTGACCCTGAAGATGTGCTCTCTTAAGCAGTAATGTATTTAAACATCTAGTTTAGATTGTCCACAGAATAGCTGGGTTCCAGAAAGGAGTTACAGTACAACCTAGAGTCCATTCTCATTATTCACCGGTTGTGTATTTGCAAATTTGCCTACTTGCTGATATGTATTCGCAATCTCCGAATCAATACTCTTGGTGTGTTCACAGTCATTTACAGACATGCTCAGAGTGGGGACAATTTTCAGTTGCCCAGTGGGCATGTTCCCAGCCGAGGTGCAACAAGACCTCACTCTGCCTTCCTGTTTCAGCTTTCATCCTGTAAACACGTGTTTTTCCTATGATTTATTTGGTGCTGCATTTTTCACATTTTCGTGCTTTTTATGGTCATTTTCCTGTTTAACGTGGCCTCCATGTGTGGTTCTGAAGAGCTGTCTAGTGTCCCTAAGTGCCAGAAGGCTGTGATATGCCCTACAGAGAAGACGCGTGTGTTGGGTAACCTTCCTTTAGGCATGAGTTATAGTGCTGCTGGGCATGTGTTCGATGTTCATAAATCAACAATATATGTTAAATAAGGTGTCTTTAAACAGAAACACACATATAAAAGGTCACACATTGCTCAGTTGGTAAGAATGTTCTAATTAAATGCTCACAGCAACCTAACCTGTCTTTTCCCTAGGAGCAATGGTTCAGTATTCACTAATTCAGTGTTCCGGGTAGAACAGAACTACCTCACGTAACAAGTACCAACTATGTTTGTAAGACACAAGATCTTGCTGAGCTAAGAAGCCTGTGAACCCCTCAGTGTGCACCTTTTCCAGGACAGCTTGCCTGGGCTGGCTTAAGTGTCCACCTTGTATTTGAACTGAAGGGAGTCTAATAGTTGGCAAAGTAATACACAGACTGCCCCCTTCACAGGGATAGCTAGAATTCATTTCTCTAAGTGGCAGGGATTCCTGACCATCCTAACTGGAGCCCTTATGCTAAGGCTGAGCTCTTACAGCCAATTTGCGGCATTGTCTGGTGCTACTGAAACCCACCCAAGAGTCCCATAGAAAGGTGTTTTTGGATAAACATAGAAATTGAACTTTCTGGTCTTAAAGCTTGAAACCCAAATTTGTTTTATCTGAGTTCCTTCCTTGGGAAGGGATCCCTAGACCTCTCAAAAAGTATCAAATAACTGAAACTCACCAGATTCTCCCATCCAGACAGTGAAATGCCAGACTCCTCATTTATCGTGATTGTTTCCTTCTGTTTTCTTAGACATTGTTACCTTTCTTCCTGCTATATAAACTCCCAGTTTCAGAGGGTCAGGGAGACGGATTTGAGACTGAGCTCCCATCTCTTCATTGGCAGCACCTGATTAAAGCCTTCTTCCTGGCAATACTCATGATGTCAGCGACTGGCTTTCTGTGCGGCGAGCAGCAGGTCCTAGACCAAACCCCTGGTGTTTTGGTAACACGACTTACTTATTCTCTCCATGCCCCAGCCGGGTAGTAAAATGAGACTATCAGGACTGACTTAATTCACAGGCAGGTCAAGTGGAAGATCAAGTTGATCATGAAGGTCCCTTTGGCTGTATTACAACCATATAGGTTTGAATATTTTGGGGGGCTTTATTCTCCACCTGGAAATTACAGGGTGCACCAGATAGAAATGGATTCATTGAATCCAGGGTAGAGTGATTGAGGTGAAGGTATACTAAGAATTTCTTGTCTCTTGGGGAAGCCAGGACCACAAGAAAAATATCTGAAGGGAAGGAGCTAGTAAGGCAATCCATCTATCGATCGTTCAGGATTTCTTGTTTAGAATTCAACAGGTAGATGTCTGGTGGGACCACCACTGTTTTGGAAGCCTGCGGGT
The DNA here is from genome assembly GCF_000001405.40 of Homo sapiens. Lineage (NCBI taxonomy): Eukaryota > Metazoa > Chordata > Mammalia > Primates > Hominidae > Homo > Homo sapiens. Next base: position 14,807,612 of record NC_000006.12, on the reverse strand, counting down.
GTTTTAGACTGAGCAACGAGCACAGGCTAAGGCTTTGATGGACGTTCTAAGGAGGTTTCTTTTAAAATTTCTTTTCCTCTTTAAAGGGGGAAAAGGTTCCTTGAGGTTATTGAGAGCACCAGGGCTTCTTTCTGAACTCTTCAGAACATATATGAAAAATGAAGCTTGAGCGTTTCTCCCTATTTGGCTGTCTTCCTGGAGTCAGCTTTATCAGAACTCTAACTCATCGGTGTCATCACTGCCTTCTAATTGTACACTGTTTTCCGTGGCGTCTTCTGAACTAGCATCAGGTTTTCATCAAACATGGAAGTGTTCTTATCAGGGGAATGCCACATTCTGAAATCTCTGGAAGGGGTGTGTGTGTGTGTGTGTGTGTGTGATGTGTGTTTTCATGAGATTGTGGAAGACACCCCATGCAAATCCCAGACAGATCTGCCTGAGCTCGAGAACCCTAGGGCCTACCCCGGGGGGGCTCCATCTGTCCCGGCAAAAGCAACACCTGCCATGTAGTGCTCATCACTTCCCTTGCCCCATTACCCAGGTTAGCTTCCTATCATGTTAGTGGAACCCAGCCTCCCCCATTGCCCAAGCTCTCTTCTCTTATCCTCCGCTTCCAATACATTCCTGAATCTTGTGTAAAGAGAGCCTGCCTCCCAATTATCCCTGTATTTATGCATCCCTTCTGCCCATGTCTTACCTCTGACTCTGACATTTTTTTACTTGCCCATTTCTAAAGCCTCCAACTGTTTCTTTTCCCAGACCTGTCTCTTTTTCCATCAGAGTGTTCAAGGCTCTTCCTGATGAAAGCCTTGTGCTGACCCCTCATGGCCTTCAGGATAAAGTCTAAGCAACCCTGCACAGGAGATGAGGCTCTGCAGGATCCCACCTCCCTCTTCCCAATCCCCAACTTGTGTGGCAAAGCTCAGGTCTCCTTGATGTTGTCTGCACTGGTCCTTGTGTTCAGAATGTCCTTCCCAACTTTAAGAGGCTCTCATTTTGTCTTTAAGATCCAGCTCTGGGATCTCACCTTTCTCCAGGTAGATGATAATAAAAATATTTAACAACCTGTCTGATTGGGTTCTGAGCAGTTAGAACAGATGCCATGGATAACTACTGGTGTGGCCTTGCTTGAGCATGCCAGGAAACTGTCATCTGGGTCTACCCCACCAAGCAGGGTTGATCCTGCCCTGCTTTGCTGCACCACTGTATGTGTGGAGGCACACATTTTTCACCCTGTATTCATTCAACAGACATTTAATAATTGCCTACTCTGCTTAGACCCTGGCTAGATGACGGCAGTACAAGAATAAATGAGACAGTGTTTCTGCCCCTGAGGTGTCTGTGGTCTAGACATAGAGCTTTTGTTTTTCTCCTTATGTGATCATCTATAAAACTATGAGCTCCTTGGAGGGTGGGGACCAACTCTCTCACCTTGGCATCTTTGGTACCTGCCTGTACCTGGCATGTAGCATCCTCAGTCCGTATTTGTGGAATGAGGGGAGGATTATCTGGCTGGCATCCCCAGCGTCTGGGCCCACAGTTCAGGGTGTCAGTGTGTTAAAATGATTCCAGGGGTTGATTGGGCATGAGCTGAAGGGCTTCCAATGAGAGGTGTAGGTGACAATGTTTATTTATAAAGGCATAATTTAGAGAATTATGAGACTCATTTGCCTTCTCTGTTCCTCCAAATTCAACTCTCCTGCCCCCTTCTTCTTCTAGTTCTTTTTTGAATGGAATGTCAATGTCACCCACTCACTGGTTTTATATAGCTCTTATTGAAGTAAAATGCAACGGAAATTGTGCATATTAATTAAAAGCTCAGAATGTGCACAGTTTTGGAACTGCTAATTAAAACTCTTACCAATCAGGTTGCATTAGTGGTTTTAAACACTTTTCTTTTCCTGAACCTAGAACTTTGCTAACCAGAGAAGACGACTTTTAAAGAGGCAATTGTCAGGAATGATAGCACCTTTTTTTTAAATTTTAATGTTAAATTTTAATTTTAGAGTCTCACTCTGTCGCCCAGGCTGGAGTATAGTGGCTTGATCTTGGCTCACTGCAACCTCCGCCTCCTGGGTTCAAGCAGTTCCCCTGCCTCAGCCTCCCAAATAGCTGGGACTACAGGTGCACGCCACCATGCCTGGCTAATTTTTTGTATTTCAGTAGAGATGGGGTTTCACCATGTTGGCCAGGATGGTCTCAATCTCCTGACCTCATGATCCATCCACCTTGGCCTCCTAAAGTGCTGGGATTACAGGTGTGAGCCACCGCGCCCGGCCCAGAATCTTGTTTTAAAAACTGCTGTATGTACCTCCAGTGAAATCTGAGGTTTGGTGTCTCCCGGGCACTTTGAAGGTTATTGAGAGGGCACAAGTGATTTCTAAATCCCTTCCTTCTGCCCTCAAAGGATGGCTGCCACTGTGCAGGTAGCATAGCTGTTGGGAAAGGGCCTGAAAGCTCCTTCCTCCTCAGGCAGGTCAAGAGAAGCACGTGTCATCAGTTTCTGGGACTGTCTGGGCAACCATGGCCTCTGAAGTTTGAGCTCATGCTCTGCCCATGGCTGCAGCTGCCTGTGGTAAGCCGAATGAATTCCAGGAGGGAAGATGACAGAAGAGGCTCAAGGCTCCGGCTCTGTTCCCTGCTCTGCTTTCTTTCAGAGCCTGGAATTCTCCACCAAGCCCATCGCTGCTGCGTGGCTTTCTGGGCGCCGTGCCAAGGACTCACACTGGACTCTGTATTCAGCCCCAGATTGCATCCTGCCTCGGCGTTTGGGGTGGGGCGGCCCAGCAGGGCTCCCCTTGTGACTGGAGTCAGAGTTTGCCTGGGCTCCCCTGAGGCGGGCCTAGGCCGGGGTCGTGAGGCTGCTCCAACAAGCAGCCCCATTGTATCCCAGCCTGGGAGTGCACAGAGAGCGGCTCCTGTGATGGAGAAGCCCCTGTGCCTCTGCAGGGTTTGATTCCACCCAACCAGGCGAAGCCATGTGGTGAGCATGTGCTCGAGGCTGCCTGTGGTCGGGGACACGGGCTGGCCATGTGCTATGAGTTTGGGCTTCCTTTCTTTTTCAGAAGGTGTTTGATTCATGCAAAATGCTTAACGATGCCTGCTATGCACCTCATGGGGGATCAGATCCCCTTTGATGTGCGAGGTCTTTTTGGAGGTTCCAAAAAAACAGTTCAAAAGGTTTACTTTGGACACCACACCTCCAGCACATGTCGAAGTCAAAGCCAGGCTCCCCAGGCAGCACGCTGGAGAAAATATTTTGTGCCAGTTTCTTCCTCTTTCTCTGCTGTGTCTTGTGCTGAGCACAGATTTTTGACTTCACACTGTCCTGGTGGTGAAAAGAGGAGACTGAGCAAAGGAAAATAAACATCACTGAGCTTTTTGAGTGTCCAGGGAAGCAAAAGTGCACCGCGGTCTTTCAGTCCTGCTGAAACTGGGTGGTGAGAGCCGGGTGGATGAGCTGCCTGTGCTGACAGATCCTCCCTCATGCCTTAGGGCTTGGAGCGGTCCGAGGGAAGCACAGGCATTAACAGAGCCATCTGCCCGCCCCATGTGGGTCAAACCACAGTTTTGCCTGGGCTTGTGGTCAGGTGGCAGGCACAGTGCTGTTACCCTGTCTCCTCTCTTCCACGGTGCGTGTGACTTAGGGATGGCTCTGCAAAGATGGGGGTGCAGAGTGCAGAATGGGAGGCAGGACTGGAGACCCATGAAAGGGAAGGTTGGGACCCATGGAGAAATCATGTCTTATGCTGCATTGTTCTGAGAATTTCCTTGCTCTTCCCTGTGCCCCAGGCGTGGGGATGGAGAAGGTACCACCACCTCGTGAGCTCTGCTCACGAGCCGGGGGCTGTAGTGGTGGGATGGAGTGGGATTTCTCCCTGATTCTCTGGAGAAAGCAAAGCAGAAACATACCTTATCATGGATGTAGCCATGGCCTTGAAATCAGGGGCTCAGGGAAGGAATTTCTCCACTGTCTTGTCTAATTATCAGGAGTCCCTTGGAGGAAGTCATTTTTCTGTCTTATGGGGTATTTACCCACCAGCCAGGGTGGATGTTTCTGCAGTGACCAAACTGCTGTACACAAGTGAGGGGAGGGCTGGTGGACTCCAGATTACTTGGTCTTTCACTCTGCAAAAGAAAATGTTTTAGGGCCGGGAGCGGTGGCTCATGCCTGTAATCCCAGCACTTTGGGAGGTCAAGGTGGGCAGATCATGAGGGCAGGAGATGGCTAACACGGTGAAACCCTGCCTCCACTGAAAATACAAAAAAAAAAAAAAAAATTAACTGGGCATGGTGGTACATGCCTGTAGTTCCAGCTACTCGGGAGGCTGAGGCAGGAGAATCACTTGAACCGGGGAGGTGGAGGTTGCAGTGAGCCAAGATTGTGCCACTGCACTCCAGCCTGGATGACAGAGCGAGACTCTATATCAAAAAAAAAAGAAAGAAAAGGTTTTAAAATTTACAAGTCGAGGAACAGCACAGGCTCCGGGTGGGCCCAGAGACCAGAATCTGGAGTGTTTGCTAGCACAGGTGTGCAGGAGTGGCAGCGGGGAGGGACACGACCCAGAGGCCCCCACAGCTCTGCTTTCTGTGCCCTAGGGATGATATCATTTATTTCTATCCTTGCACGATGCAGGTGACTGCCCCCAGCAACCCCCAACCCCCTCACCAAAACTGGCATCTCTGAAAAGCCACAAATGCTCAGTCAGCCTCCAGTGCGATTTTAGCACAACATATGGAAATCTACTGGGGCCAACTCTGCAACTATCTGGCAAATGATAGGTATGTAGAATTGCAAACTATTCTTTATGCAGTTTAACTCAGGCTTTTGTATCACTCTCCAGTTTCCCTTCATAGATTTCCTTGAAGTTCTGCAAGTCCCCTCCCTCATCTGTGGCTGAAAATAATCCCTATGCACCGTCCAGTCTCTGTTAGGCTAAGACTGCTCCGTTGTCCTGCTCCTAGAGGAATTCAATGAATTATTCTTTTTCTTTCCTGGGTTCATGTCCTTGGAGATCCCCTCTGGCTTCAGAGCATCCCTACACATTTCTCTGTCGCTTCATGCTGTGGCTTTGCCAGTTTTCTCATGTTTTCTGAAATCCCTTCTTTTTAGCAGAGGTAGGTTTCTGCCCAGGCATCATTTTCTTAGTCTTTGCGTATCACATTCTGTCAGCCCTTCTCTCCGTGTCACTCTAGGTTCTTCTTTTCATTTTAGAACAGATGTTAGCATTTTAAAAAGTCCATTTCTGATTGAGTTAGCAATTCATGATTAGTTACTCTGGGTCAAGCAGTGTACCAGGCACTTTCATTTCTCAGTAATTTACAGGGCACTCCTGCATTGCTATTCCATTTTTAGACATGAAAATACTGTCACCCGATGAGTTACACTGGTAGTAAGTAGTGGAGAAGCTCCTCTAACACAAAATCAAATTCTCTTTTCTCTGTATCACATGTGGTTCCCTCATAGCTAGATGGAGACCACTCTCAATTTCACATAACATTTAGAAATGTCTCCAGTTCTGGCCGGGCTCAGTGGCTCACGCCTGTAATCCCAGCACTTTGGGAGGCTGAGGCGGGTGAATCACTTGGGGCCAGGAGTTCAAGGCCCGCCTGAACAACATGGCAAAACCCTGTCTCTACTAAAAACACAAAAATTAGCCAGTCATGGTGGTGCATGCCTATAATCCCAGCTACTCAGGAGGCTGAGGTGGGAGGATCGCTTGAACTCGGGAGACGGATGTTACAGTGAGCTGTGATCAGGCTCCTGCACTCCAGCCTGGGTGACAGAATGAGACTCTATCGCAAAAAAAAAAAAAAAAAAAAAAAGAAAGAAATGTTTCCAGTTCCCCCACATGCCTGTCTTGGAGAGGTAACTAATCCAAAGTGACAGATGAAACTCCATTTCTTGTGTGTGTGTTTTATTTAATGTTGGTCAATATTGTGGACAGACATTACCCTCCCCTTTAGCGAACAATGAAACAATTGATTAGTTTAAAGATCCAGCTCCAGATTTGTATGTCTATGACATGGAATGAAAATCCATGTATATTACTCCTCTCTTCATCAATCCATCTCCTGATTTTGTTCAGGCCTGCTTGTCCTTTCCTTTTCTAGTTTTGGTGCCTGGACATCCAGGCCAATTTACATAGCCACTTTTCTCTGGCTCTTGAGTCACTCAGCATGAGGCACAACACGGGCCAATAGGACAACACACAGATATTTGTTATATGGGCAGCAGGAACAGAGGTACTGAGAGATTATCTCAAATATTAACAGTGCATGACTTAAAAACAAAATATGCAATGGACTGGGACCAATTCCATGTCCTCTAGGACCAGAAACAGGAAGACATATTGGAGGCGCTGGGAGTCCAAGTCATAAAGTCAAAAGGAAGAAGACATTGATAATCAGCCTGGGACCATCCATAACTGGAGAATTTGAAGCAGAGGGAAAATAAGTGATTTGGGAAAGGAAAAACAGATTCAAACACCACAAAATCTTATCTCAAATTGGGAGACCCCTTGACCCTGGAATGGTGTTATTCATGAAGGTTTAAGTTGCATAGCTCCACCATGCTCGCCATTGGTGCCTCTTGTGTGGAGGTTAATAATGTACAGCACTGCTCTGAAGTATTTTTGTGTCCGTTTGGTCTTCCTGGCTTGAGGATGAAGTTCTTAAGGGCTGGATAACGTCATACACAGATGCTCCTCGACTTACAATGGAGTAAGGTCCCAGTAAAGCCATCATAACTTCAAAATATTGTAGGTTGAAAATGCATTAAGTGCACCTCATCAACTGAACTTATCGTAGCTTAGCGTAGCCTACCTGAAACATGCTCAGAACACTTACATGAACCTGCAGCTAGGCAGACACCTCTAATGCAAAGCCTATTTTATAAACAAGTCTTGAAAATATCATATAATTTATTGAATACTGTACTGAAAGTGAAAAACAGAATGGTTGTATGGGTACTTGAAATACGGCTTCTACTGAATGCATACGAGTTTCGCACCATCATAACATCATAAAATCGTTCAGTTGAACATTGTAAGTCAGGGACTGTCTGTTTATCTTAGTGCCAAGTAGAGTGCCTTGAATGGAGCAGATGACCAAAAATATTAACTGATTGGTAAATCGATTGACATATAATTAAAAACTCAAATGAACATGAGACTTGAATAAATCACAATTTAAATGTGTTCCTTGTCAGTCGTACTGTTAAGGTGGAAGTCCTGAGCCCCTGTATTTGTTAGGGCACAGGCTTATCTTTTCCTTAAAGATAAGGTATTAAAAAAAGAAAGATCTTGAATTATAGTGATGTAAATAGGATTGAAGTTTCCTTTTCTCTTATGTAACAGTGTGCAGAGGTCAGCAGGCTGGGGCTGGGTCCAAGGAAGCAGCTACAGCTGCAGCCAGCAGGAAGGAGGAAAAAAGCCAGAACCATGGGTTTGTGTTGTTTCCCAGGGCTGTGACCTAGAAGTGGTATTTATCCTTCTGCTCACATCTCATTGGCTATAACTTGATCACATGGCCACACCAAGCTGCAAGGGAGCCTGGGAAATGTAGTCTTCATCTGAAGGGCTGTGCCCAAGTACAATGTGGGAGTTCCATTGTTAGAGATGGGGAGAATGGGTATTACAGCCTCTGATATAGTTCCTAAAGTAAAATTCCCTAAGAGCCTCCCCTTAATCTGAATCAGTTGCAAAATAAATCTTGAGTAGAGCCAGCTTTTCTGTTTTACTCTCTGTGGGTGTAGTAGTTTTGTTTACTTTGACAAGACAGCTCTCATTGACAATTTCTGTGATTTCATGAAAAAGTGGAGTTTTTTATTTTTATGAGACAAACATTTATATTTCATTTTTACATAAAAGATACTCCTTCTCCATAAAGCCAATAGAGGCAGAAAAAGTACACTCGTTAATAAATTCTTAGATTTCCCAGAAAGGTAGATACCATAGTATAGGGATTAAGACAGCAATCCAGGAGGAGGAGGTAGTGGGAGGAAAATCTAGAACTGTCCAAAGGATCAGACGTCTATGGTTTGGGGTACCACCTCGACCATTTATTAGCTGTGTGATCATGATCACTTTACTTAACTGCTCTGAACCTCAGTTTTCTCTTCTGTAAAATATGGATGATAATATGCACCTCATTACAGAATTGATCCTGAGAATAAAAGAGGTGTTACAGGTAAAGCACTTTGGGCTGGGTCTAGTTTGTAAAAGTTGCTTAGTGAAGCCAACTTCCTTCCTCCCTCCCTCCCTCTCTTCCTTCCTTCCTTCCCTTCTTTCCTCCCTCCCTCCCTTCCTTCCTGTCTTCCTGCCTTCCTGCCTTCCTTCCCTCCCTCCTTCCTAAGAACAAGGGCTTAGCATTGTTCTTGTGAGGTCATTGTTCTTGTAATGTTAAAAAAGGGAGTAGCATTGTCCTTGTAATGCTAATGTCCTCCCTCCTTCCTTCCTTCCTTCCTTCCTTCCCTCACTCCCCAATTCCTAAAAAAAGGGATTAGCATAGTCCTTGTAAGTAAGTGGAAGAACCTCTGAAGGCATTCCCTGTGGTTACCCATCAATACTCACAGCCTGGGAGCAGTCCTTCAGAAGTAGCTAAAAAACCCCCAAATTTTAGCTCTGATCTAAACACAGGGCAGTAACCAAACCAGCCAGAGGAGCTGGGGACAAAGCTGAGGCAACTAACAGCACAGGAGAAATTCCCTTCTCTCTGCACTGAATACATCTTTAAGTGGTACTGACCCTGCGAACTGGGGAGTCAGGAGCTGAGGGCAAGCAACAGGTGTCTGCGGAGCTGGAGAACATGATACCCCTAGCCCTTTAGAAGCTGTGTGAGGAGGCTGAGAATGTTGGGGAGGGGGCCCATTATAAACTGGAAACAGAACCCACCTGACGAAGGTTTGGGATATGAGAGAAAACATGGCTTCTGCAGGAAACAGGCTGGATATTCTGGGCTGACCCATCCATTTGTTTGTGGAGCACGAGCAAAGCCAAGGCTAGAAAGATGAGCCACACTTGGGCTCCATGGTGCAGCTAATGGGCTGGACAGAAAGGCTGGACTCCCAGTGAGGCTGGAAGACCTCCCTCAGGGATGCAGGTCCAAGGCTGTTTGGGCTCCTGGGGCCAAGGGAGGAAACCTGGAGGAATTTAGACACAGTGGGAAAGGGTGCATTTTTTTCTATGATGAAGACATTCCCTCCTAGGCAGACACTCTTGTTTGTAATGTAGGAGGAGAGTCTTGCTTCTAGGCTGGATGTGCTGACTCTACAGGGGGAGGGAGGTGGGGAAGCAAGACATTGTGATAAGAAGATTTAAAAGCTTACCAACTTGAACCTACTTATCCCTGCTCTGTTTTCCTGGAGGCAGCCTTAGAAAAATAAGCCCTGTCCCTCCCTTCCTCCCTCCCCCAACCCTTCCCTCCCTTTTTCCCCTCTCCCTCTCTCCTGCCCTCCCTCCCCTCCTTTTTTCCTCCCTTCCTCCTCTCCTTCCTTCCTTTCTTCCTTCCTTCCATCCATACCCTCTCTTCCTTTTTTTCCCTAGCCTTTGTCTCTCTATGCTTCTCTTCTTTCCTTCCCTTCTAACACACATTCATTTAATCCTGATTATTTGCCAGATACTGTCTTAAGAGTTGGGAAAAACAACCAGTGAAGAAAGATTAAAATTCTAATTGAGGAGACAAACAATTAACATCAATTGCTGCCCAAACATCTTTATCTTTGTTCTCTCCAGGTCAAGTCTATACCTGGCCTTTTCCCCTAGGCCCATAACATGCAGCCCTAAATTGCATTCACTTGGTAGTCAGTGAGGGGGTGATTTGTTCTTTTGCAAGGAAGTTTCAGGGAATAGACTGTGGCTGCTGAACACTGTTTTACAAATCACCTGCACCCTATAGATGTTGACAGTGTAGAACTCTACCCAGAATTTGAAGTCTCCTCCCCTGGGGGCATATGAGAGACTGAGATGAGATGAGATGATGAAATCTCCTGAAATACACAGGCAAGCCATGGGAGAGCCAAAAGATTTCTGCCCCAGAGAACTGGAGTAATTTTGGTTGGTTTTTGGGAAAACATTCTAAGATGGGCACAGCATTGTGCAAGGTCTCAAAGCTCAGCTGCCAAATAATGGTGTTCAGTACTTAATCCTGTTGATTTGTATGATAATGTTTTACCCATTTTCAAGATCAGTCCATACACAATTATGGCAATGTAAAGTTATTCTTTTTTTTTTTTTTTTTGATTTAAGATTCCCCAATATATGTTGTAAATAGAATTGGCATGGCTGAGATTTATTTTTGGTATCATGAAAGAAGCTTTTAGATTTCAATTTAGAAAACTGGGACAGGAACACCATTTCTGGCCATTTTTGGCCACACTTGTTAATTTACAAAATGAGGATAAGAGAGGCCAATTTAGAGAAGTTGTGGGGATTAAATATGATAAATGGAAAGATACACGGTCAACTCTCAAGCATTGTAGAGATGTTAGATTGTATTATGACTGTGACTGTTATTCCTCAAGTGTCAGCTTACTTTTAAACAGCTTTGAATGGCCTGGTATCAACTTGGGCATTTTGAAGATCAACTATTCAGGGTATGAAACTAAAAAATAATTGCGATGGTTGGACAGGGACTATGAAAATCTGTTCCCATGCTCCTTTCGATATAACAGTTCTCTAAAACATTTGGAATTGTCTTTAGAGATGTCGTCATGGTTCATTTTCTTTCCCAAGGCATAAGACTTAGGCAATTGTTTTGGGATTAAAGTACATTTTATAATTGGGAAGAACAATCTCTGCCCAGTGATGGTGAAAATGCCAGGGGGAATTTTTGGACAATTGTACCCGTTTATGACTTCTTCTTTCTCCCTTGAAGAGAGGCTAACTTGTGGAAATCTTCTATCTAGATGGCAAGGTTATAACATTGGTTAACATGTTACCAAAGTTAACTTGCTTGGAGGAGCTGCCAAGGGCATTATTAGGTTATCTACCAGGATGCCAAAAATATTTCCAAGATGGAAGGAGATCCATGTTGACTATCAAGGGCCTTTGCTTTAGACAGCTTTTACCGCTGACACCCAGAGCTGGTGATATGGAGCAAAACGAGTCTGAAAGCCAGGCATGTGTTTCCGGACAAACATGGCCTGGACAAACAGCTCCTCTCTTCTCTCTGTCAGTTTCTTCCTCTGTCAAATGGAAAGTCCATTGCTAGATTTCTACCTCACAAGGTTGGTCTGCGAAGATGTGAAGACCCTGCCAGAGGAGTGTCTCAATACAGAGTACTCTTCTGTGGGCTAAAAGAGCTGTGTTTCAAACACTGGAATACATAAAGCATAACTCCTTTGCAGCCCACACCTTCTAGGAAGTAATATGGACTGAAAACCAGTGATCCATATCCTGCCAGGTAGAAAGCTGTGCTTTGGGAGCTGGAAGAGAACTCTTCCTGCCACTATGGTACCATTTATTATTTTATAGAATACTCAGTTGGTTTGCAAAGAGCAGACCCATTAAGTAAAATAAAACAAAATTAGCTCTGTGATCTTATAAATTGGTCTGTTCTGATGACAACAGACAATGATAGAAAGAAATTGTTACTTGCTATAGATGTTCTAGTTATTGTAAACATAGGACTGTGGTTTTCATGGGATGCTAAATGAAGGAATCGTTCTCCTTTTAGCATCTGGACGTCAATCCAGTCCTACTTCTGTTGAATGCCGCAGAGTACACTTTAAACCGTTGGGACCTTTAATACCCACTGACAGACTGCCAATGAAGACCCGCTGTGTTCTGAATTGCAAAATGGGGGAGGGAGGGAAGAACACTAGCAACAGGATGGGATGTGAGGTCCGTTCCTGCTTGTGGCACAAGTCCAGTTGGTCAAACGTAGAGGTTGGAGGAATCTGGAGAGAGATACGGTGACAGGCTTAGTTCCTCAGGCAAGGACCAGGCTAGTCACAGTCCGGGTATTTAGTTTCTGACCTTCTTGGTGAGGCAAAACCATATGCTCCTGGTTCGGAGAAAACCAAACAATAATCTGAAAGCCAACCCCAGGAGGAACCAACTGAGAGTTGTGCAGAGGCCAGTGAGGGTGACCTCATTTCTCACTGCTCTGCTCTCTGCTCTTAGATGGCCAGCACCGGGTTCTGTTTTGTTCTGTCTCCCATCCTAGTTCAAGGACAAATACCCTCTGGCTCTGAGCTTACCCTGCTTATGGCTTGACACATGTGTGCCTATTTCTTTTTCTCTTCTTTCTTTTTTTTTTTTTTTTTTTTGAGACGGGGTCTCACTCACCTCAGCCTCCCTAGTAGCTGGGACCACAGGTATGGGCCACCACTCTTGGCTAATTTTTGTATTTTTTTGTAGAGACTTGATCTTGCCATGTTGCCCAGGCTGGTCTCAAACTCCTGGACTCAAGTGATCTGCCTGCCTCTGGCCTCCCAAAGTGCTGGAGTTACAGGTGTGAGCCATCACACCTGGCCCTACTTTTTGAAAAAGCAAAGTACTTGTGATAACACATCACTAAGGAGCAGGCGGACTATCAGCCCAAGGCTCCCAAAGCACATTTCCTACTGTCTTTTACCAATACATGCAGCTCATCTCCACTATCTCCATCCAGAGCAGGTATGTAGAAGGTCAAATCTTAAGGGGCTTTAGGGTTCATTTTATAGTCCACCCTCCTCGCTTTTAAAGATGAGACAAGGGAAGCCCAAGAATTAAAGTGATTTTCCAAGACCACAGGTGGTCAGCGGCCGAGCTGTCAGAAGAACCTCATTTCCCATGTCTTCCATGCGGACGTCCCTGTGGGCAAAGATCCTGGACACTGTGCGAGTGGTGCTCTGGGCTGTGCAGCGACTCCTGGCCTACTGCCTTTTCAGGGCTGTGCCCTTGGGATTGTGGCCTTTGTCTCCTTTGTCCTTTTTTAGGGTTATCCCTGGTATGGTTTTAATATGCCATTAGACCCTTGAACAGTGTGGGAGTTAGGAGCACTGACTCCCACCCCTATGGAGAGAAAAATCTGCATAGGAACTTTTTGTTTTTTTTTTAACAAGGGCTTGCTCTATCACCCAGGTTGGAGAGCAGTAGTGTGATCACAGCTCATTGCAACCTCGACCACCCCCCATGCCCCACCCGGCTCAGATGATTCTCTTGCCTCAGCCTCTCGAGTAGCTGGGACTACAGGTATGCACTACCACATTCGGCTAATTTTAAAAATACCTTTAGTGGAGATGAGGTTTCTGCCATGTTGCCCTGGCTGGTCTCTAACTCCTGAGCTCAAGTGGTCCTCTCGCCTCAGCCTCCCAATGTGCTAGGATTACAGGCATGAACCACTGCGCCCAGCCTGTGTGGAACTTTCAATTCCCCTGAAACTTAATTACTAACAGCCTACTGTTGACCAGAAGCCTCACCAACAACATAAACAGTCAATTAACACATACTTAGTATGTTATGTGTATTATATACTATATTCCTACAATAAAATAAACCAGAGCAAAGAAAATGTCATTAAGAAAATCATAAAGAAGAGAAACTATATTTACTATTCATGAAATGGAAGTGGATCATCATAAGGGTCTTTGTCTTCATCATGTTGATGTTGAGTTGGCTGAGGAGGAGTGGGGGTGGTGGTCTTGTGGTCTCAGTGGTGGCAGAAGCAGAAGGAAACCTGCCTGTAAGTGGACCCTCATGGTTCAAAACCATGTTGTTTAAGGGTCAACAGTCAGTGTCCCTCTAAAATTTCTGTGTTGGAAGCTGAACCCCAAGGTGATTGTATTAAGATGTGGAACCACTGGGAGGTGATTAGGCCACGAGGAATCTGCCCTCAGGAATGGGATTAGTGCCCCTTATAAAAGGGCTTGAGGGAGTGAGTTTGTCTCTTCTTATCCTTTAGCTTCTTCTGCTGCATGAGGACACAGACAGAAGATATCTTCTTCTTGGAAATAGAAACAAGCCCTTATTAGATATGAAATCTGCTGGTATCTTGATTTAAGACTTTTCAGCTTCCAGAACTGTGAAAAATAAATTTCTATTATTTATATATTACCCAGTCTAAAGTCATTTTGTTATAGCAGAAGGAATGGCCTGAGCCTGTCACTTAATATCACTGAGCCTCTCTTTCCTCAAAATAAGAATCCCTCACACATTTATACGGCTGAGTTGATGTTCATATGAACTAATAAATGGAAATAAGTGCCATTTGTAATTTTAAAACATTCTGCCAGCGTAAGATGTGATAATGTACATACCTACAACATAACATCATCATTCCACTTTTTTTCTGGCCTGGAGCACCTCAATCCCTAGGTTGGCTTTAATTAATTTCAGGTGTATGATTAAAATGTTAATGATGCCCTCATTCATCTCTGGGCACTTAATTGTCCTACAAGGTCTCGGATACCAGTTGTGCTCTGCACTCTCAAGATCAGCAGGGCTTCGTAAAGAGAGCCTGTCTTTATCACATTAAGAAATCCCCACTCCAGCAAAAGATAAACTGAAGGATTGATCATTATTGTTGCAAATCAATTCCAGAGAAATCTTTAATATGAAGCTCTGCTGATGCATAGAGAATGGTTCCAATTGCAAAACTTCAGATGAACATGTGACTTGCTGAGAACCTGACTATTGTTTGAAATCAGGAGAAACATGGTTTTAGCCTAAAATCATGGGAATCTTAGGAATAAATAAAGGTAAACACTGGTCCTTGGCAGGGGTAGGGAAAGAGTTTCTAGTGACCTTTGTGACCAAGGACTAAGTGCGATCCTTGAAAAACGGATATTTTAAACCCATTCACGTAACTGTGTTGATGTTGCTGAAGTCTAACCTTCTTTCCTCCAAATCTCCTCTTCCTGGTGACGACATGGGTGAGTGGAGTGGCTAACTCTCTGCAGCTATCTGCTAGGACATCTACAGTCCAAAGCAAGGAAGGAAATAAATGAAAGTTCTTGTTTCAAGAGAATTCTCTCAAAGTGAAGCTCCAAATGTCTGCTGTTGTCTTTGTTATTTTGTTCAGTGAGGATTTTCTTGGTTTCTGCATGTCTGGCTTGGTGGATAATCTTTTGAATGTGGAGGGATACTTTAGACTGGAAACAATAGCATCTTAGGCATTAGAAAAGCTTGAATAATTCATTTTTCATACCTGCTGCAATGTGTTAATGACCAAAGGTTGCACAAAACATGAAGTATTTGGATCTCCTGATACGGAAAGTTAGCAAAAATGCTTCTTGCTCTTTTCCACTGCTGTTCCAAGCTCACATCTGTTTGGAACTGAACCGTAGCATGTGTGCTGGGGAACCTGTATGAAATTAACTTTTATAGCTGCCTTTACAAGCAGGATCTTTTATTGTCTACAACTTGGCAGAGATTCAGGAAGTTCCCAAAATGATTTATTGTCATATGTGCCTATTCTATGGTGGATGATGAAACTGATATATTATTGAACATATGCAGTCATTCTGGTTAGAGACAACAGATCATCTAAGCCTTTTATACAAAAGGATCAAAGAATTCACGTTGTGGAAAGGAAAAAAAAGTTGAGCATTTTGTTTTAAGCAAAATAATTACTTGCAGGAACAAAACATTTGTTCCCAATCCTGTAATTCTTTTCTGTTTGCCAACATAGTAAAAACTTATTAGAATGTAGAATACATTCTTTAAGTAAATATTTAAGGTTATATTTCCCCAATAAATGTTTGATTACATTCCTATAATATCTGAGATAGTTAGTTCTGTTTATTAGGCCATGATAATAAGAATCAAAGATCATAAATTTAAATTTCTTTCATGTTACTGAATGCAAACCCTCTCACCGAAATTCTTCCAGTTAAACAGAGGGGCCCCTTTAATCAGACCAGTCATGCTCCATATGGTTGCAAGAGGAATTCGGTGAAATGGTGAGCAATGCAATGGAGTTTCTACTAAGAGAAAACCACAGAAGCATGTTTTTCTGTTGTTGAGTCAGGAGAATTTCCATACATAAAAGACAACACATTCAATGACAATAACAACAACAACCTAACACTTAATTACTTCAAAATACAGAAAAGAAAAAGATTAAATGTAATTCTAGGATATGCATTTATAGCATTGAAAGCATTTAATCCTATGTCAAAATCTGGAGCTTTGGAATTCAATGTGTCCTGTCTCAGCCAGATAGCTAATTGACACATTCATATTTCAATTGGAAATGGGTAGTCAAAGTTCTGGGGGTTTCAGATGGATTTGGAAATTAAGCTACGTGACTCCAGATCTTACAAGGCTGTGTTAACCAGTGAGAAGATTTAGATCCAATTTTCTAGTTACAATGTCAATGGAAAACATTTGATTTATAGTGTCAGTGGAAAACAAAAAATAAATCCCTAGGTATTATGTAAACATTTTCTACAGGGTCATTTATAAGGCAAAAGTGAGGGTAGTTACTTCCAATGGAATTAGATCCAGCTTTTGTTTCTTTTAACAGTGTAGACACCCACATTTTTGGAACAGAATTTGGAGCCCGGTTTTGGGATCCTGCCTAGTCTCCACTAATCCTCTTCATTCCAGAAGCACTTTCTCTTAAAAATGGAAGTAATTCATGTAATTGCTACCTCATTCATTTTCATAAGAAATTTAGATATCAACAGATATCATTTGCTTTCTACAAATAGAAAAATAGAAATGGAATTTAAGGGACTTAGCATGGATTACAAAATTATTTAATATTATCCCCCAAATTCTGGCATTACGTTTCTGTCTATGAGCTGAGCTTGGAACCAGGCTGAGTCCTAGTTGAGTAAGTGCCTTGGTTATATTCAGAATTTGCTTTCCCTCATCTTAATCTGTTAGGCTGATGGTTTGACAGGGTTACATGTTAATAAACTTATTCCTGAGACAGGTAAGTTAGCTTCGTATAGTGAAATAATTTTTTGTAATGGTGGACAAATCTCTTAACTCCGGCTAATAACCTCAGAATAAAATGATCCTGTTCCAAAATGGGTCAGGTGGAAATAGATGTCTCTGTACACTCTTAACTTAAGGCTGGAAGCAAATGATTCAAATGCACGTGTTACTGTCAGGCGTGTCGTCTTTGTGTGTAAAGAAGGATAGCACATTTTCAAAGGGCTTTGAAACAGTTGAATGTGGGTAATGTTAATTTGGTGTAAAACTTCAAGTGGCATATTACTAATGCCAAAGAACAAAGCAATTGAGGATCTGGTAACTAATTACTAACAGCACTGTCACTATTTTATGTAAGTGTGAACAAGAATCATATGTTTCTGATAGTTCATCCTTGTTGATGTACTTAGTGTTACCGGTGAAAGTGTGATAATGAACAGCTAGTTGATTACTGAGAGCTGCCGTGGACTCCTCTTGATAGCAGTGTTTTGTACCCATGCCCAGAGGCCCTGGGGGCAGTGGACATTCTTTAAATAAATGAAAACACTTAATAGATGTTGTGATTTAAAAGCACTATCACAGACTTGAATTAAGAGACCCTGTCATAACAATCTGAAGCTAATGACACTGTGATTTGGTGTTGCAGGAAGCTGTGGAGACTACCAAATGGACTCGTCTAGATTTCACATGCAACGTGGCTCTGCCTTCCCTGAGCACTCTGGGCCTTTCCATGGAGACAGAATGAATAGATAATGGTGAGTAGGGGGGAGCTATATTAATTCAGAGATTCCAGGAGGGGATGAGGAAGATCAAATCAACAGCTGTGGATACCTGGTTTGTGTGTGTGTGTGTGTGTTTAAGAACACTTTATTCAAGAATCTGGAATTTACCTAATGCTCATGATAGGACAAAAATGACTCTATTCCCAAAACTAGGTGATTATGGATTGAAAAGACCCTCGACCAAAGGCTAAAGGTTTGTGTGTTAAAACATAAAAGGGATACTGAAAACATAAAGACAGAGCAATTCCAAGAATTTAGAATCACAGAAGCTTAAATGTGGGGCTAGGAGGGACTTAAAGGTAATTGTCTAATTTGCTGCTGTCTAGCTGATGAGGCCCAGTGACATGAAGAACTTGCAGCTGGTTAATGGGAGAATTAGAATTAAAATCAGCCTCCTAACTCCCAGGCCAGTGCTCTTTCCAGCACATCAATCCCTTAAGAAAATCCAACTCCTAATCTCTAAGCCCCCCTTTACCAAAAAGCATCTGAGTGTGATTTTATCTTTGGGTAGATCACCATGTAGATAACTAGTCTTGTGTGAGACACATCTCATTCCCCATTGTAAATTACTAAATTTACTCTCTGGGATGAATCATCTCATATGCCACTGGGAAGCTTGAACCACTTCCTAGGACCACTGGACTGGGGATCAAAAAATCTGAGCTCAGGCCGTATTTCTGTCAAGTCACTTAACCTTGCAGGTCTGTTCTCTTTATGTTCTCTTTATGAAGTTAGAAGAATGTTTGGGTGATCCCTCAGGGCCCTCTCAGTTCCAAATTGTTAAGATTCTATTTAAACACGTTTGAAGGGGAGACAATGGGGGACAAGATGGTGACTGTCTTTTTATATGCAAATGTACATTGTAAGTTCCAAAAGGGAGTGTGGATATGAACTGCTAGTAGAGGAAATGGACCCAGGTGGCTTGACAGCACCAGTGAGCAAAGCTGGGAAAGACCTAAGAAAGAGGTCTTTGAACAAAATGATGTTTAGATAAAAGGAATGACAAATGAACCTGGTCAACAGAGAATCTAGATTAAGCTCATTGAGAGTCCATTGGCTGAGAACATAGGAGACACTAGATTGTTGAATTTCTCTAAGTCTGGTCTAAAAATGGGATAGGAAAGGAAAATTATTCTATGATCACATAGGTTTTTTTTTTTTTTTTTTTTTTTTTTTTTTTTTTGATGGGGTTCTGCTCTGTCACCCAGGCTGGAGTGCAATGGCACCATCTCAGCTCACTGCAACCTCCACCTCACAGGCTCTAGTGATCCTTCCACCTCAGCCTCCCAAGTAGCTGGGACCACAGGCATACACCACCAAGCCTGACTAATTTGTCTTGTAGTTTTTGTAGATACAGGGTTTCTTCATGTTGCCCAGGCTAGTCTCGAACTCCTGAGCTCAGGGAATCCGCCCACATTGGCCCCGCAAAGTGCTGGGATTATAGGCATGAGCACAGCGCCTGACCCACGTCGGTTTTTATAACATTGAGTAAAACAAAGTTAAATTGGTTTCTTTATGAAGGCCTTCTCAGAACCTTTAATATGATAAAATGCTTTGGGAATCTCCAAGGTACAGAATTTCCCAGATCCATTTGGCCACGGATCACACTGTTTTGTGGTACATTCCATGAGAAATGCTGTCCTAGAACTGACCTGGAGAGAGGGGGAAGGAGAGTTCAGGGTGACACTTTAGAACTTCTGCAGGGATGTAGATCAAAGCTGAAAGGTAAAAACTAAGCGCTTCAAACAGGTTTCCTCCTCCAAACACCAAAGTAGGTTATGAGCATATCTGAGCCTGGGACTGGAAACTGTAAGGTAGTAAAAATCTATGGGAGAGACAGTGACCTTGAAGTGAAGGCTTACAACGAAGTACATGGCTTTTAAAAGGAGGGAGTGGGTAAACTACTCTTTGACTGTCTCATACTTTCAATGATTCCAAATTAGTTGTGTTGCTTATATGGTTTCGTGTTATCCTGGGCTGTAAATGGTATCCACAGCAGAACATCCTCACATTGACTCATTTTTATATGCTTTTATTTATTTTTTTTTGCAAAGATCAATTTTGCAATGTGAGTAAAGGGGGCAGGCTAGAGCTGAGAACTGGGTCTTGGGTGAAGACATGGAATGTCTGTGCTGGAAGGGACCTGGAGTTCTAACTTGAGGTCCCTGGATGTGCATCAGAGGATCAGTGGATTCATGTGCTCAGTTTTGTGAGGATGTGCCCGTCTGCTGTTTCTAGGGGAACAGTGTAAATGGCTTTCAGCAAATTCTCAAATGGGCCTCTAATCCCCAAAGCAGTCAGCAATGCCTTACTGAGGCTTATTTTACAGGGAAAGAAACTGAGGCTCAGAGAGATAAAACAGTTTGCTGGATGTCAGCATGATGGCTTTGATCTTTGGTTGCTGGCAGGAGAGTTCCCCTGAGAGCTGGTAAGCTGTAGGTACAATAAAGAATCTGCTGAGTGAAACTTGACCATGGGTTTTGAGGTTGTCCTCACCCCTGAACTGGAGTAGGCTTTAAGATACGCATTGTACTCCCCATTTGACAGCTAGAATGCAGAAAATACAAATTACTCAGAGTTACCGAAACTTGAACATTTGCACTAAAAGCCCTAAGTCTTGACTCTCCCAAGAAATTACTCACAATTAAAGTGTTATACATTCCATAAACAATATGCAAACAAATCTAGAAATAAATCTGGGTTTTAAACATGCAATAATCATGAAAGGTTTTCTCTGTTTTCAGGATCACTGTGTGTTTTGCCTTGGGTATCACAAGGATTTTGAAATAAAAAGGGTTTTCATTTTACCTTTTAGGAACATGATATAATTTATCTGCATGATTGCATTTTAATTAGCACTCCCATTGCCTTTTTAAACGTGCAAAGATATAAAATGAGCCAACCAAACAGGAAGACACATAGCCAAGGTGTTTGCTACTGTGCTGTTATTGAGCACAGCCTTGGGATGAAGCCTGTACCAGACTCAAGTTTTAATAGTGTGAACTGGTTCAAAATAAAGCCATTTGTATGCATAATATTTTACATAAGGGTTAAGCTGCCTTAGCAATTGTTGATAATGATGGATCTTTGCACAGCCCTGAGGATCTTCAAACATTCTTTGGGAGTAAATCAGGCATTTCTGCAATTAAAAAACCAACGTGTAAAGAATTTTACAGGGAGCATTTTAACACAAGTCTTAGATGGTGAGGTGATGACTCTGGGAACCCTAAAACTACATCAGAGTTGCACCTGTGTGGAGTTGGGTGTGGGGAGGGCAGGGGAAATAATGCAAACCACAAGAGTGGACTTAGTTTTGGAGGGAGGTGTTAACTCTCTTTATAGCACAGCATGAGGTGCTAGCTCAGCATGGTGTGTTCTGCTGTTCTGGGAGCCTCTACTTTTCAAAAATCTGAACTAGGTTATTAAGAAAAAATTAAAGGCAACGTAAAGAGAATTTGCGCTTCCCAACCTTGGAAGCCCTAGCTTGTAACACCTTTCTAAACAAGACCTTTGTGGGTTGAGTAGATGGAGTTCTGGCTGATTCCTTCAGCCTTTTCAGTTGTGGCCATAGGAGGTCAGATGAGCTGTAGCTCAGGCTGGTGGTCAGATGGCTATGATTGTCTGTTAGTAACTTGCTCTCAAAATTAAGTAGATAATTGTTTTAAATAATATGCTATGTGGGTTGGGCATGGTGTATCACGCCTATAACCCCAGCACTTTGGGAGGATCGCTTGAGCCCAGGAGTTTGAGAGCAGCCTGGGCAACATAGTGAGACCCTGTCTCTACAAAAAATTAAAAAGAAAAATTAGGCATGTGTGGTGGTGCATGCTGGTAGTTCCAGCTACTCAGGAGGTTGAAGTGGGAGGATTGTTTTGGCATGGGAGGTTGAGCTGCAGTGAGCTCTGATAGTGCCACTGCGCTCCAGCTTGGGTGACAGAGTGAACCTCTGTATATATTTAAAAAAAAAAGGCTATGAATATTTTATTTAAAATCTGCATTAAGATGAAAGAAAATTGTTATTATATGACTTGTTCAACTACCAGCTAGTTAACTAAAACTGGGATTCATTGGAATAAAATGCATAAACCCTCCCTTTAAGTCACACCATGATCAAAAATCTCCAGAGGAGAAAAAAAATCACATACCTATGTAGCTCTAAAGAGAATGGAAGCAAATCTAGAACTAGTAACACAACTTGTTTAACAGCTGTGGTGTAATTGTGACACTTCATTGAACAAAACTGTTCAATGGGCAGAAAGATTATCGCTATTTTTTGGTGGCATTCAGAATTATGCTTCTTGCAAAGCATTTCCATTTTTGTAATAATACATCATGAGACAGTCCATCCAAAAAGTATCTTGTAAGGATTAGATTGCTCTAAACAACAAATATCAGTTAATAGTGTGAGTCGTCCATAGCTTTCAGGGCCCTAGATATGATAAATAGAGAAACTTGGCATCTGAATTCTTAATGCCTAAACAATGCGCCCTCAACTCAATAACTGACATTGATGATGGCAAGGGCCCCCACTGATGACTTACTTGGCTTCCTCCATCAAATTCCTCATAAAAAAGAGGGAGGGTTGAACAACAAAACAAGGGTGGCAAGCCCAAATCTTTGTCCATTCCAGGCTCTTCACCACTGAGCAGACAAATGAGAGTGAAAGCACAGACTTCCTGCTCTTTCTCTTGCAACCCATTAAGACTTCTCTCTGGTAAACAGGCCTGTGGTTGCTTTTGTTTAGTTTTGTTTAGTTCTCCTCCCTTCCCCCATTTGTTTAAAGCATTGAAAGTCCTACAATTGCTGTGGCCATCATTCTCCCAGACTACAACCTGCACAATGGCAGGGTTACAATGGGAGAGGGAGGCTGGCGGTGATTCCTTTGTGTTTCAGAGAGTTTCAACGAATTTGTCAGGCTGCAGCAGCTATTGCCGTGTAGGTACTGGGCGCCAACCGGTAAGCAGCAGGCTCTTCCGGGTTGATCTGCAGGAACACGTTTTTGCCTTTTAATGTGTCGTGAAGCACGGGTAAGAAGCTCTCGCTGAGTCCTTGCTAGTTCTCACAGTTCTGACTTATGCCCTGAAAACTGTGCAGAGAGCTTGGAGATAGGGTGTTAAGACCGGCAAGAACATCCAGGGCTTTGTGGATGCTCCGTACCCGCCCCCACCTCCTCTGCTGCTGTCACAACCCCACACCATAATTGGCAGTACTTCTCAGGCTTGGGTGGAAAGAGAAGGCAGATAGTTGTAAAAACCAGATAAGATGCACTAATACCAAGGGCTTTAGTTAAAAAATCTTCATAGCTTTTTATTTCCCAACCACCACATTCTCCTAAGACTTGGGTTTGGTCACCTAGAATGTGTGCGATCTTACATGAATCACTAACATGCTCTGGGTTTCAATATCTTCATCAATAAAATTAGAGTAGTTCTCAAAGTGTGGTCCCTGGAACAGCATTCTCAGGGAAGTTGTTAGAAATGCAAGATTCTTAAACCCCAACAGAGACCTACTGAATGGGCCACGCTGGGTGAGGTCTAGCTATCTGTGTAGTTTTAACCAGCCCTTTAGGGAATGCTGTTGCAGGCTCAAGTTTGAGACCGCCTGAAATAGATGATCTTGTGCATTCTTTCTAGCACTGGCATTTCTTTTTTCTTTTGTTTCCTTTTTTTGTTTTTTTGAGACGGAGTCTCTCTCTGTCGCCCAGGCTGGAGTGCAGTGGCGCGATCTCGGCTCACTGCAAGCTCCGTATCCTGGGTTCACGCCATTCTCCTGCCTCGGCCTCCCGATTAGTTGGGACTGCAGGCGCCCGCCACCACGCCCGGTTAATTTTTTTTTTTTGTATTTTTGAGAGGTGACAGCGTGCCGGCAGCCCTTGCAGCCCTCCCTCGCTCTCCGCGCCTCCTCGGCCTTGGCGCCTACTCTGGCCGCGCTTGAGGAGCCCTTCAGCCCACCGCTGCACTGTGGGAGCCCCTTTGTGGGCTGGCCAAGGCAGGAGCTTGCAGGGAGGTGTGGAGGGACAGGCGCGGGCAGGAACCGACGCTGCGCCAGGTGCTTGCCGGCCGGCGCGAGTTCCGGGTGGGCGTGGACTCAGTGGCCCCGCACTCGGAACGGCAAGCCGGCCGGCCCGCAAGCCCCGGGTAGTGAGGGGCTTAGCACCTGGGCCAGCAGCTGTTGTGCTCGATTTCTCGCGGAGCCTTAGCTGCCTCCCCGTGGGGCAGGGCTCGGGACCTGCAGCCCGCCATGCCTGAGCCTCCCCCCGCACACCTCCCTGGGCTCCTGCACAGCCAGAGCCTCCCCGACGAGCGCCGCCCCCTGCTCCACGGCGCCCAGTCCCATCGACCACCCAAGGGCCGAAGAGTGCGGGCGCACGGCGCGGGACTAGCAGGCAGCTCCACCTGCGGCCCAGGTGTGGGATCCACTGGGTGAAGCCAGATGGGTTCCTGAGTCTGGCGGGGACTTGGAGAATCTTTATGTCTAGCTAAGGGATTGTGAATGCACCAATCGACACTCTGTGTCTGGCTCAAGGTTTGTAAATGCACCAATCAGCACTCTGTGTCTAGCTCAAGGTTTGTAAATGCACCAATCAGCACTCTGTGTCTAGCTCAGGGTTTGTAAATACACCAATCGACACTCTGTATCTAGCTAATCTAGTGGGGACATGGAGGGGAGGGACATGGAGAACTTTTGTGTCTAGCTCAGGGATTATAAATGCACCAATCAGCACCCTGTCAAAATGGACCAATCAGCTATCTGTAAAATGGACCAATCAGCAAGATGTGGGTGGGGCCAGGTAAGACAATAAAAGCAGGCTGCCAGCGCCAGAAGTGGCAACCTGCTCGCAGGTGTTTCCACAGTGTAGCTTTCTTCTATTGCTCTTTTTAAGAAATCTTGCTGCTGCTCGTTGTTTGGGTCCACACTGCGGTTTATGAGCTGTAACACGCACTGCAAAGGTCTGCAACTTCACTTCTTAGGCCAGTGTAGATTATGTAACCCACCGTGAGAAATGAGCAACTCCAGACGCGCCACTTTAAAAGCTGTAACACTCACCGTGAAGGTCTGCAGCTTCACTCCTGATCCCGCGAGACCACGAACCCGCCTAAAGAAAGAAACTCCGAACACATCCGAACGTCAGAAGGAACAAACTCTGGACACGCCGCCTTTAAGAACTGTAACGCTCACTGCGAGGGTCCGCGGCTTCATTCTAGAAGTCAGTGAGACTAAGAACCCACCAATTCTGGACACATTTTTAGTAGAGATGGGCTTGCACCATATTAAGCAAGATGGTCTCCATCTCCTGAATGGTCAGCCTGCCACGGCCTTCCAAAGTGTTGGGATTACGGGCATGAGCCACTGCGCTCGGCCAGCACTGGCATTTCTAATGATTTAGTTTCAGTTCATCAAGCCAGTTCGAACCCAAAGCTCTACACACGTGATAACGTTTTCCAGAGAGACTTGTCAAGTGTATCAGCTGTGAGCATCCGTGCTGATAAACAACAAGAATTAGAATCATGGGATCAAAGGAAAACTGGAAACCTGAACCAGCTCGGCTGGCTAAAAGCCTTTCCTTTCAGATTGCTATATTGCTCTCAAGTTGCATTGAAATGATTTTGCAGGACAATGGTAAGTACTTGACTTCTGTTACACTGCTCTAGGCACCATCTATCTACTTGGATGTGCACATTTGCTTGCTCTGAAAAAGAGCTCTTTTTGTTTCTTTTTCCCTTACCCAGGGAGCAGTTTTTGTTTGATAAAGTCGGCTTGAGAACACTAAGAATGTGGTATGGCTCCACCTGTTAAAGTAACCGCTATGTTGTATCGAAGGCTGGGAAGATGGGCCCGCCTGCAGCAGGTGTCAGAGCTACGACAGCGACATTCAGACCCAGGCTCCACTGCACATGCAGTTTTTCTTGCCTCTTATGCTCCATTCCCTCCCTCCTCCTTACTTGTGTAACTTCTTATCTTTTGGGCATCAGTTTCTTCTGGGATGCTCTTCCTGAACAGTCAGGTTAGGAGCCCCACGTCAGGGTCTCTGGGCGCCCTGTTCTTATCTGTGTCACTGCCGTCAACAGTGTGTGTCATAATTGCCACTTGACTCAGCCATTGCACTTCCTCAGCCTACATCCAAGAGGAAAGAGACTGTCTCTCATCCCTCATTTCACTCCCAGGATCTATCACGGTGCCTGGCACCCAAGAGGGCATCTGTGATGATTTGTTTATGGAGAATGACTCCATGTGTCCTGGCCACCCTCTGTTAGATTAATTGTTCCTCTTATTCATGCATTTGTTAAATATTGACCAATCAAATATCCATTGTTCAAAAAGTAGGCGTTGCCTAAAGATGGGACAGAGTACTGGGTCCTGTTAGGGATTTAGAGAGGAGCTCATTGCACCCTCCCCTCAAGGACCTTATGGCTAGTGGCTTCCCTGTCCCTGTTGTGTTTGTTTTTAACCCTCAGATGCAGAAGTCCAGGCCACAGCACACTCTAACCTTTGATTTCTTCAAGGCCCTCCTTTGTTTTCAGGCTTTGCTTTTATTCTCATCCCCACCTCTATTTTTGTCCTCTTTGTAGGTAACCAGTTTAACACGTTTGTTTGTAGTATTTTATTTGCCTGTATTCTTGTAAGATGTATTGTAAACGTGTTTTGCATTTACGAATATGGTACACAAACAACCTCCTTCTGCTTCTCACTTTTTCTGCCCGGCATGTTGTCGTGATGTGTGTTGCTACGTGTGGGGAGGAGGTGGTGTCTTCTCGCTGCTGTATAGTACTCCAGCCTGTGCTCCTCTGCTGTCTCATCTGCTTCTGCAGTGATGAGGCCCTGGACTGCCTCCAACTCCCCATTACACAAGTGCTGCCATGAACATCCTTATACATGTTCCCCTTGACTTATGGGAGAATCCCTAGGAATTAGCGGCATACAGGGATGCCCTGTGTCTCAGGGACAGGATTGCTGGGTCATAGCATACGTCCATCCTTATGTTGGCTGAGTGCTGCCAGATTCTTTCCAGAATGGCTGCCCCAATCTTGTAGGCTGGCAGGAGTTCCTTGTATGTATTCTAGATCGTAGTCCCTTGTCAGTTTTCACATTGCAGATATCTTCTTCCAATATGTTGTTTGTTCGCTTTGTTTATGGTGTCCCTTGCTTTAAAAAAAAATCCTTTGATTTTTTTTCTTTTTTAAAAATGCATGACAGAGATTGATTTGGAATGGCCCTAAATGATCCTTTGATTATGAGCAAAACCAGGGAGCTTTTTACCTTAACTAACATAAATTTTGCTATGTTTCGAGACATAGGCATAGATAGCATTGCACACAGGTGGACCTTAGCATGCCTGAATGAGTTAATCAGTAGAGTTTAAATGCAGAGAAATCTTTAAGTATTAATCTTAAAACTATCTAAATGTCAGTCTGTTTTGGAGATAGGGTTACAAGTGTTGTAAATAGGAAGTCATGCACATTTTTGATAAGCCCTGTAAATCATCAAAACAAAATAAAAGAAAGGAATACTCTTGAGAAAGCATTTGTCACCCTGGGGCTCAGGGGCCAGGTCTCAGAAAGGCTGAGAGAAAGAGCCATATTGGTTTTCCCTTGGGCAGGCCTCTGCTTACACTGTTTGTGAGAATTCAGAAGCAACCTCCTTGGTAGTTCCTATTGGCTCTGTGTATTTGATCTTGGCCAGCAGGTAGCCTGTTAGAGTTAGCAAAGCTTCCAAGGATTGTATTTTTTAAAAAATATAATATCTTGATATGTGTCAAGAGCATGTCTTAGTTCATTTTCTGTTGCTATCACAGAATGCTTGAGACTGTGTAATTTCTAAAGCAAAGAGGTTTATTTCTTACAGTCCTAGAGTCTGGGAAGTCCAAGATTGGGAGGTCTCATGATCCAATCATCTCTTAAAGTCCCCGCCTCTTAATACTGTTACATTGAGGATTAAGTTTCAATATGAGTTTCAGAGAAGACAAACATTCAAACCATAGCAAGGCCTTTATGATCCAGTCCCAATAACAATTTAATTCAATCCTTCCAGGCCCTCCTTCCTTCTGTTTGATGGAAAGCCACATCAAATCCTATATTGCAGTTCCCCTTAGCGTGCCACCTGTGTGCCCAGGCTGGTGTCTCTGCCTGGAAGGAACATCCACTTCATGGACTTTTCCCCATGCTCAAGGCCCAGCTTAAGCTGCATCTCATCTATGAAACTCCATACCCTTCCCCTTGTGCCATCCACATGCTACTACTGTATCAAGTACACAGCTCAATTAGTGCAGATACTGCAAGGTATTGCAGTTATTATACATCTGGCTGCCCCAGTTCCACTTAACTTTGAGCTTCTTGAGGGAGGAATAGGGTCGTGTTCACTATGCGGCACCAATAGACCCTCACACATACACAGAGACCCAGTAATTCTCTCCAACGTGAGAGAAATCTGTTTTCTTGCCCATTAAAGATTACCATCTGTTAACCTTGATCCTCAGGCTTTTAAAATACCAACTAACTAATCTGATGAGTGAATTCATGCTATTGTGTTACGGGTTTAGTGTGTAAAATCTTCTACATGATATTTACGTCTTAAAAGAAAATTTTTGAAAACAGAGGACAGGACTCATTAATATAGAAGAATGACTATAACAATGGAATTTATAAATAGCAACACATTGACTAGGAAGGGTAGGGGATGTTTGGGGGTAGGCAGTTCTTTCAATGCCGTAAAAATTACCCCACCTCTACAAAATATCGATATTTAGGGATGCATTGAGTTTGTACACAGAGTTAGTCTTTTCCTCCAAGTTTCTCAATAACAGAAGTAGATAAATATATAGCACATGAAATCTTTGAGTACCTATGAGTCAAATTTAATCATGACAACAACACACTGACACTTGTCCCTGAATAAGATGTGTTTGATGATACGTTTTGTTGCTAGAAATTTGCTGCTGGAGGAGGTAGAAATAATGTAGGAGGCATAGGAATGTTTCTCTTCAAGATGAAGATTTACTTCTTAGGATTCTCAGTGGGGATTTTCTTTCCTGGCTTTTCTTTTTCATTCCTGAACATCAGCGGAAAGGTCCTTAATCCATGAATGCGGACGTCAGCTGGACAGGTCAGCCCTAGAGACAGGATGCTCCATTGGGCACGTAGGCAGCACTCTCTCTCCATCTCCCTTTTCTATCTGTTTTTGTATTATTCTCCTTTCTTCTCTTAGCTGGATGACTTTATCTGCCCCTCAGTCTATCTGATAGAAAACACACACCTTAGTGTCTACCTCTTGCTATTCCAAAGTCCTGGGGTCTGGAATTTGAGATTCTCACTGGTCTGGCACGCGTCTGGTGCTCACTCTGGTCCCAGTCAACATGGCTCGGAGTATGGGGCCGTGTTGAACAGGCATGGCTACCGGGAGCTCCCTGTGACCAAGGCAGGAGTGGAAGGGAGCTCTGGAAAGAAGACCTGTGCACGCACTGTCACCAGCGTCCACTATGACAGCAACCTTTATATGCGAAAAGGTTTTCTGGGCACTCGCCAGATCATTTTTGAGAAATACCCATTTCTCTTTCAGCCCAATACTCCAAAGAGGAGAAAGAAATGGACACAACTTGGAACATGTTATGATAGGAGTCCCTGTTCTGTTATAGCACACTTGTCTTGGTATCACAATATACCTACATATGTGTGTACCTGTACAGAATTGCATATTGTCAGAGACTGTAGTGCAAACATATATCCTCTTGGGAATCCAGCATATGAGCTTCCCAATACACACCCTACACAAAAATCTCCCAAGGAAAGCAAATAATTTCAAGTTTTAGGAAAGAGCAGCGATTTGTTATGATAATAGCGTTCAACAAGTATAGCATTCTAGATTCAAAGGAAATGCCTTGTGGAAAAAAAAAAAGTGCTAAAATGGCTTGATTGGGGTTTTAATGAGAGTTTGTTTCTCCTCTACTCCACCCTTCATTCTCTCCCACCCCCAGTTATTTTCTCCAGCAAGCCAGTCAAGAGCCCTGTGCTGGGAACACTGAGAGAATGTTAACAATTCAACTCTACCAATTAATTGCCGCAACTTTCTCCATCCTGCTCAGCAGGGTCTCTCTTGCAGGCTGCTGAAAACCTAACAATGCACTTTACCGTTGTGAATGCGTAATGATGTGTTCATCAGGGGGCTTAAAAACCCTTGGGGCTACAATATCCACTTCTCGGCACCCATTATAGAGGCTAGAGTATGTCTTACGTGACAGTAAAATGTGAAGCAGGAATGCCGTCTTTAAAGAGAAAAGGCAACACCCAGGAGATACAGGAATCGCACAGTCATGCTGACTTAAAATACACATGTAAACACTCACTGTGCCCCTGGTGTCCTGTCCATAAATAAAATGGCTTGCTCAAGAAACCAGGTTTGAAGTGGAGGTTTGCCGTCACTCCCCAGATCTGTATGGAAGTGTCAGAAGTGGAGTCAGCTAGTTAGTTCACCCCAATAGGTACTGAGAGCTATTAAGTCTGTACCACTGTGTCGGGAGAGACCAGGAGGAATCGAGCAGGTATGAGTCTTTCTTTTTTTCTTTTTTTTTTTTTTTTTTAGACGGAATTTTGCCCTTGTTGCCCAGGCTGGAGTGCAGTGGCACGATCTCGGCTCACCGCAACCTCCGCCTCCAGGTTCAAGTGATTCCCCTGCCTCAGCCTTCTGAGTAGCTGGGATTACAGGCATGCACCGCCATGCCCGGCTAATTTTGTATTTTTAGTAGAGATGGGGTTTCTCCATGTTGGTCAGGCTGGTCTCGAACTCCCGACCTCAGGTGATCCACCTGCCTCGGCCTCCCAAAGTGCTGGGATTACAGGCGTGAGCCGCTGCGCCTGGCCCAGGTACGGGTCTTTCATATGGAGCTTCTAGTCAGTTATTGGTGACAAAGTGCAGAGGTAAAGGGTGAACAGATTTAGGGGAAGACAGAAGCCTGAGGATAATTAAGTACCAAATTAGTATCACTAATAGTGAGTGCTGCTTTTAGTCGCAGTTCAGTATAAAGGAGGAAGGAAAGAGGAGAGAATTGGATTTTCTTGTCTGTTTTTGCCTAATTGGGTATGATGGATGTGTTTGCCCAGGAACACCACACAGAGATTTAGGGAAGAAAGTGATAAATTCTGTTGTGAAAACAGGGACATAGAAAGGGCCCTGAAGGAGTTGGTTTTTAAAATCCAGCTGAATGTCACTGTAAATTTTACAGTTTGATGTTGTGTTTCTAACAGTGGTTCTCAATCAGGAATGGTTTTGAATATTGCAGGTTAGGTGGGAATCACTGATTGAAGGAAGGGGAAAGGCAGGGAGAAAAGTTCCAATAGAAGGCACAGGACACAAAATAGTTACAAATGAATGGGGGAGTAATGTCTTCTGCAAGTGAAATGTTCTCCAGGTTTAGAGTGATCTCATTTTACAGGCAAATGCCTGGGAATTTGATAAGACTGTCAACAATCCACTTCCCCTACAACTAAACCTCATTTTGATAACTCGGACTGTGCAGTGGTTTGTACTCCCACCACCAGCTCTCTAAACCCAACGAAATGTATCTACAGGACAGGTAGTCTTTTTTTAGGTTGATCTTGGACTGGCACGGAGAAAGAAAGGTTTGGATCACTGCTGTGGTTTGAATGTCCCTGTCAAAACTCTTGTTGAAATTTAGTTGTCAATGTAACATTATTGGGAGGTGAGGTCTCTAAGAGGTGATTCGCTCATGAGGGCTCTGTCTTCATCAGTGGGTTGGTGCAGGTATCATAAGACTGGGTTAGTTATTGTGGGAGTGGCTCCCGAGAAAAGGATGAGCTTGGCCTGATTTCCTCTCTCCCATCTCATATGCTTGTTCATCATGTGATGCTTTTCACAATAGAATGATCCCTACCAGATGTCAGCACCATGCTCTTGGACTTACCAGTCTTAAGAACTCTGAGAAATAAATCTATTTTCTTTGTAAATTATGCAGTTTGTGGTATATTTTTATAGCAGCAGAAAATGGACTAAGACAATCACAAGTTTCAATTGTGATCCAAGGGTCAGGAAAGGGATTCTGGTAGGATAAACTGTCCTTGCTTCTTCACACTCACCCTATCTATTCAAAGACTCTGGCATCTATACAAAACAAACCAGAAAAAAACTTAATGAGAGCTGGAGATGGCAGAAAGAGAGTCACTTATAGCTAGTGTGATGACTGTCACAGGTTGTATCAGGCCCAGGAAAGAGTAAACAGCTCCGTCATACTATCATGCCACAGCTCATGAAGGGGGATGGTCAAAGTCACAGAGACTCTAGGGATATTCTTTCTTCACATGAGATTACATTGTGGTGTTTCCAAGGGAAATTAATGCTTGACTTGGCAAGGTGTTCTTTGCAATTTCCAAATAAACCAGTTGGGAGTTAGCCAGAGTGCTCTTAGAGTAAATTAAGATATTAAATTGGAATTGGGCACCCAATGTTGTTTTCATTTACAGAACTGGAGCTCATCCCTACTCTGCTCATGCCTCAAACCTCCACTCAGTCCCACCAAAGTTGAGGCATTTGTAAGAAGCAAGTGGGAATCCAAGGTGCAGAACTCCTTTCCTGGTTAAGAGGGGTGGAATTTGCAGAGGGAAGGAGAGGGTACTCCATGCACTGAGACTTAGTAAAAAGGACTATGGAATAAAAGGGGGGAAATCGAAGTGAGAGTGAGAAATATGAATGAAGGAGTTGGTTTTTAAAATCCAGCTGAATGTCACTGTAAATTTTACAGTTTGATGTTATGTTTCTAACCTAACGGTTCTCAATCAGGAATGGTTTTATGTTGTTGTTTTGTTTTGTTTTTGTGTTTGTTTTTGAGACGGAGTCTCACTCTTGTTGCCCAGGCTGGAGTGCAATGGCGTGATCTTGCTCATTGCAACTTCTGCCTCCCAGGTTCAAGCGATTCTCCTGCCTCAGCCTCCCGAGTAGCTGGGATTACAGGCATGCACCACCATGCCTGGCTAATTTTTTGTATTTTTAGTAGAGATGGGGGTTTCTCCATGTTGGTCAGGCTGGTTTCGAACTCACGACCTCAGGTGATCCGCCTGTCTCGGCCTCCGAAAGTGCTGGGATTACAGCCGTGAGTCACCGCGCCCGGCCAGGAATGGTTTTAAACATTGAAGGTTAGGTGGGGATCACTGACTGAAGGAAGGGGAAAGGCAGGGAGAAAAGTCAACTTTTCTTCTCCTGGCAGAGCTCAGCTCAGGAAGACCTTCTTCTCTTGTTAGCGGGAAGGAATAATTAACTTAGACAAAATGAAAATTTCAGTTCCTGCTCTGCCATACTGCTCTTTTTACAATAAAATTATCCAGAATATATAATAAAAAATAACTTCCCTAATAGTAACAAAAACTATATAATATTTAGGAATTTCTTTGATCAAGATTATATCGGACTTCTCTGGAAAAATATTTTAAAACTTTTATAGGAGGCATAGAACATGATATCAATAAATATTGTGTCCTTGGATGAATAATTCAATGTTATAAAGATTGCAGCTCTTCCCAAATTAGTTTATCATCTCAATGCACTCTCAAATCAAAATTCTAGTTGGATTTTTTTTCCCCAAGAACTACAGAAATTTTGGAAGGAATAAAGATTGACAAATAGGTAAGTCAATTTTCTGTTTGTTTGTTTTGAAACGGAGTTTCGCTTTTGTTGCCCAGGCTGGAATGCAATGGCGTGATCTTGGCTCACCGCAACCTCCGCCTCCCGGGTTCAAGCGATTCTCTTGCCTAAACCTCTTGAGTAGCTGGGATTACAGGCATGCGCCACCACGCCTGGCTAATTTTTGTGTTTTTAGTAGAGACGGGGTTTCTCCATGTTGGTCAAGGCAGGTCTCGAACTCCCGACCTCAGGTGATCCGCCCGCCTCGGCCTCCCAAAGTGCTGGGATTACAGGCGTGAGCCACTGCGCCCGGTTGGTAAGTCAATTTTAAAAAGAAAACAAAAATAAAAGGGGAATTTATCGAGATATTAAAACTTGCAACAAAGCCATAGTAATACAAATCATATGCATTAACATATATATAGACCAATGGAACACGATAGGAAGCTCAAAGACAGACCCAAGCATATTAGAAACAATGATGAGACACCACACATTACTGGGAAATTGCTTGAATGACTGCCAGAAAAGCTCTGCACAGAAAAGGTAAAAATGAGATCCCCACCTTACACAGCATGCAAAAGTAGACTCTACCTCCAGATAGATCAAAAGCTTACTCTAGAGAACAGGTCTGCTGATGGTAAGAACTAAAGCTATAAAGTTAATAAAAGAAAATATTAGGAGAATGTCTTCAGCAGAAAGGTAAGAAAGGACTTCTTAAATAAAATTCCAGAAGTACAAACCAGAAGGCAAAAAAATTGATAAATTTGTTTACATCATAATTAAGAATTTTATTTCATGGAAGGATATTATAGACAAAATTCATAGAGAAATGTCAGAGTGGAAGAAGATTATTTGCAATGTTTAAATCTGACAAAGGGTTAGTAAGTAGAATATTCAAAGAAAGCCTGAAAAGTAGCTCTAATAGAAAAATGAACAAAAGGTATGAACAGGCATTTTAGAAAAAAGAGAATCCAAAAGACAATAAATATAAAGGAATGCTTATATATAGGAATAACCAGAGAAATGCAAATTAGAATTCACTTTATACCAATTTAGACAGGAAACAATTAGAAAGCGGGGTAGTGTCAATTGACGGTGGAGAAAGGGGTTTGTCTTATCTAGGGCTCCTCATGCACTGTGGGTAAGAGTCTAGTACTGACATGTAGCCATTTTCATGAGTAATCTGGTACTACTCAGGTAAATTAAATACCTGCATAAACTGTGACCCCGCTATTTCATAACTAGATGCATATCCCAAAGAGTTTTCACGCTGGTCTGTAGGGAGAAACATATAAGGATGTTCATATTAATATGTTGATATATTATTATGTTGATGGAGAGTTGCAGTACCAGGAGAGTTCCTAAGTGAAACATGGTAGATATACATCATCTATGGAAATACTCTGCAGTAACAAGAAGCAATGGGTTCAATATACAATAGCAATGTGGATTTTCTTAAAAAACATAATGCTGATTAAAAAACAGAAAAAATGTGCAACATAAATCATTTCCACAAACTAAAAATACACATACACCAAAGAGCAATAAACATTACGTAAGAAAACATACAAAAAGATGGACGTTAAATACATTAGAATAATTACTTGTGGGGGGGGCAGTTAATGAGGATTATAAATGGGAACAAAGGGGATAGATAAAACAAATAGACAAGAAAAGGGCCCCCATAAGGACCAAAGACGATATTGTGGCAAGAACTATCAAGTGTAATTATATCCACCAATGCTCTCCATGTCTAAGGTTAAAGAATGTTAAAGAATGGTGTAACTAACTGGCCAGTAAGTCATCTTCGGAGGCAAAGAGATGGGTCTGGGATAAGGGAAGCAGGTAGGCACCAGCCTCTCCACGGATTAGTGGGTGGATTTACCATGGGTTAGGACAGTAGCAGAGGATAACTCACTCCAGGCACAAAAGGCAGGCAGAGTGAATTCCCTGAGTGCTCTCCATGTTTAACTGGGGCGTGTCTTTGAGGCAGAAACAAGGGACCTTGCATAGTTTGCATAGCATGGTTTAAAAAATTAGAATGGGGAAGAGGGCAGGAAGTATGAACTCCTGAAGGTCTTGAGCGGAAGCAGAAGGTGGAGGAGACTGGACAGGGGAAGCTACTGGAGGACTCCGCGATGCGGGGTGTACACTGCATCGTGAGACCACCCACGGGGGAAGCACACCCTGGAAAGGAGGGAATGAGACTCCCAAGAGCCACAGACTCGGGAAGGGCAGGACGAGATGCTATAGGTGTAGAGCCAGCAGGGCGCAGTCTGTGCCCTTGAATTTTTTTTTTTTTTTTTTTTGAGACAGAGTTTCATTCTGTTGCCCAGGCTGGAGTGCAATGGCGCGATCTCAGCTCACCGCAACCTCCGCCTCCCGGGTTCAAGCGATTCTCCTGCCTCAGCCTCCCAAGTAGCTGGGATTACAGGCGTGTAGCTACCACGCCCGGCTAATTTTGTATTTGTAGTAGGGACGGGGTTTCTGCATGTTGATCAGGCTGATCTCAAACTCCGGACCTCAGGTGATCCGCCCGCCTCGGCCTCCCAAAGTGCTGGGATTACATGCGTGAACCACCGCGCCCGGCCGAATTCTTTGCCCTGTTTTCACCTTTCTTGTTACACAACACAACAGCAATTCTTAGTGGTTCTGACCTGAGAAATGCCATCTCTGAATGTCCTGTCTGGACACTCTTAAAGCCTGTGTGGACAGCAGGACATAGCCCATGGGGCCCCGTGTCCCTTGGGTTCTGTCTGGAAGAATGCAGCAAATGTTCCTGCCTATGTGAAATTACACCTTCTCTTTGGTCTCCTCCTGAGTACATTCAGGAAACATCTGATGATCCAATCTACTGTTTTTGTTTTTTTTTTGTTTTTTTCTTTTTTATCTTTCCCCCAGGCTCCCCATCTCTTCAGAAAGCCTGCTCCTTTCTTTCCTTGGAGGGCCGCTGGACTGGGCTACACCCACCCCCATTCCTTAGTACTTAACTCTCCTCCGGAATTCTCCTCTCTTTTCTGAACCTCCTCCTTTACACAACTCCCCCAGCTTTTTTTTTTTTTTTTTTTTTTTTTTATAAATACACTTAGGTTCCACTGCAGCATGTGGGGGAGATGAGAACTGTTGGTTTAATTACAACAGCATCCTCCATGATGCTTTCATGATGTTTAATTACAGTAACGTTCTTCATAATGCTTTTGACCTTGGCAAAGCTTGGGAAAACCAAACCTTCTCACCCTTGCATAGTTCACAGCTGAAATCTCCAGGTGGAGTGGAAATGGGGTATTTAGGGACAGGCAGAGGTGAAGTTTGTGTGGAAATTGCACCTCTGTTTGGCCCCTGTCCTGTCTGCCCTCCTGACCCTTACCACATTAACTTCAGCAAAATATAACTGCGTTGCCGAGTGCAAGAGTTTTGGGTGTCTGGGTGTACCCAGACTTTGTGTATTTTTTGTGTCTTCATGTTTCAAAAACATTTCAATAACAAAGAGGCTTGTTGTTGCTAGGAGATTTCTAAAATATATCATTGATGGAGACAAGCTCCACCAATGCCCTCTTACTTTTGCTGATGTGAGTCAGGATGACCTTTTCACCTCCTTCCGGAGGATATTTATAAAAACCAGACACAGCGCGCATGTTGGAGAGAGAATGTTGGACAAGGCCAATCACAGTTGGAAAGAAGCAGACAGAACACCTCTCCCTGGAATGATGTTGGTGCAAACCATCCTGGAGCCGTCAGATTTTTCTAGTTGGTCTTTGAAAGAGAGGATGTCCCATGCCCGGTGTGTGCAGAAACATAGGTTTGGTTTCTGTATCTTCTCCCTGACTTCCAGAAGTCAGAAGCTTAGTCCCATGATCTGTAGAAGGAAGGAAGGAAGGAAAGAAGTGAAGATCACTTGGGCCTGGCTAAGGTGGGATTATTTTTAGCAGCGGGAGGAAGGTGACCTGAGGGACAAGCTTGCTCGCCTTGAGGGGAAGGATGGAGTTAAATAGGGGTTTACCCTGTGTCTCAGTCAGTGCAGGCTGCCCTAACAAAGTACCACAGATGGGGTGGTTTAAACCACAGAAATTTATCTCTCCCAGTTTTGGAGACTGGAAGTCTGAGATCAAGGTGCCAGCATGGTGGGGTTCTGGTGGGGGCTCTCTTCCTGGTTTGTAGACAGCTGCCTTCTCACTGTGTGTTCACATGGCCTTTTGTTGGTGTGTGCTCGTGGAAAGAGGGGGAGATTTCTGCCTTCCTTTTCTTATAAGGGTACTGTCCTAGTCTGTTTTGGCTGCTGTAACAAAATACCTGAGCTTGGGTAATTTATAAACAACAGAAATGTACTGCTTATAGTTCTGCAGGCTGGGAAGTCCAAGATCAAGGTGTCAACAGATTCAGTGTCTGGTGAGGGCTACTTTCTGCTTCAAAGATGGTGTCTTATTGCGTCCTCACATGAGGGGGAAGCAGTTTCTCTACAGCCTCTTTTTTAAAGACACTAATCCCATTTGTGAAGCCTCCACCCCTCTGATCCAATCACCTCCCAAAGGCCCTACCTTCTAATACCATTACCTTGAAGGTTAAGTCTCAACATATAAATTCTGGGGGAACACCAACATTCAGACCACAGCAGACACTGATCCCATCTTGAGGGTCCCACCCTTACAGCCTCATCTAAAACGAATTACCTCTTAAAGCCCCACCTCCAAATGCCATCATGGGGGGTTAATGCTTCAACGTAGGAATTGTGGGAGGACACAAACATTCTGCCCATAGCATCCTGGTAGGCTGGGAGGGTCTTAGCATCCAGCTTCCCAGCAGCTGCTCCTTCCTGGTCAGGGCCAGCCTCACCATATCAACTCCCTTCCTTGTGATGCTCCCCTCCTTGTTGGGGAGTGTGATAGTCCTGGGGCTGAATGAGGAGAGAGACAGAAGTACTTTCTAAGAAATCTAGAGCAGGGCTCTACTGTTCTATAAGAATGCGTCTGCCAAAACCAAAACAAACAAACCCAGCCGCAACAACTACCAAAATAAAAAAACTGCACTTACAACTTAAAAAAAGTTTTAATAAAACTTTTTAAATTAATAACTGTTACATCTAATTATTATGTCTAGTATTAATTTTTTTTTTTTTTTGAGCAGAGTCTAACTCTGTTGCCCAGGCTGGAGTGTAGTGGTGCGATCTCTGCTCACTGCAACCTCTGCCTCCCCGGTTCAAGCAATTCTCATGCCTCAGCCCCCCAAGTAGGTGGGATTACAGGTGAGCACCACCACACCCAGCTAATTTTAGTAATTTTACTAGAGATGGGGTTTCACCACATTGGCCAGGCTGGTCTCGAACTCCTGGCCTCAAGCAATCCTTCTGCCTTGGCCTCCCAAAGTGCTGGGATTACAGGCATGAGCGCGTCCACCCTGGTATTCATTTTTAGAAAAATTTTCATATTTTAATTTTAAAAATATAATCTTTTTATTTTACCAAGGTATATATCTTGACACCATCTGAAAAACTTACCTATCCATTTAAGCAAGTTCTTATTTCTCTTTTGTATTCATTTCCCCTTCTTCTTTCCCTGGTGGTACAGAGCATTGTATAAAATTAGTTATTCTTTCACAAGGGTCATTTTATTGTAAACGATTTTATTTTCAATTTCTCTTTAGCACTATGTTTGAAAATAAAATACTGGATTATACTGGAAGTGGGTGTTGCTTCCTGTACTCTTGAGTTATGCGGACAGGGAGGAGGAGAGGATCCCTGATGCTGGGGAAATAGCCAGGGCACCTGATATGGTGGTGATAGAGATTGCGTGGCTTGTACTCTGTGGCAGCCATCACACCGTCAGCTTGATTACCTCTACATTCAGGGAGCTCACCCCACTGAAGAGGGCAAGAAGCTTAGGAGCAGTGACAGTTTAGTCTTTCAGTAGCAGAATTAAAAATCTCTTTGTTGGCTGGGTGCAGTGGCTTATGCCTGTAATCCCAGCACTTTGGGAGTCCAAAGTGGGCAGATCACTTGAGGCCAGGCAGGAGTTCCAGACCAGCCTGGCAAACATGATGAAACACTGTCTCTACTAAAAATACAAAAATTAGCTGGGTGTGGTAGTGCGTGCCTGTAATCCCAGCTACTGGGGAGGCTGAGGCACAAGAATTGCTTGACCCCGGGAGGGGGAGGTTGCAGTGAGCCAAGATCGTGCCACTGCACTCCAGCCTGGGTGACAGAGTAAAACAGTATCTCAAAAGAAAGAAAAAGAAAAAAAAGTTTCTTTGTTTTTGCTTTCTCCTCCTTTTTTCTTGGATTCCTATAAAAATTGTAAGCCATTTGTCACTGAGTGTCCACTAACTCCATGCTGCATCCCAGTAGTTTGAACTTGAGGAGACAAAGCTCACCATTTGAAGAGACACAGTGGCTATGTCAAAGGCTGTCCAGTCTTCTTCCACTTGGGGAGATACTGCCTGAGAGGAACAATGGTCTTTGCAGCACTAGCGCCTCATTTGCTTTAAGCAGATAC
Organism: Homo sapiens; assembly: GCF_000001405.40. Taxonomy (NCBI): domain Eukaryota; kingdom Metazoa; phylum Chordata; class Mammalia; order Primates; family Hominidae; genus Homo; species Homo sapiens. The sequence goes on along the minus strand of NC_000006.12, from coordinate 14,767,853 downwards.
AGGGATTTGCAGTTTTTGAAAACAAATTCAATTACCACCTTTTTCTTTGGGGGTGTCCTTTTTTTGCCCTTCAAAAGTCATTCACTCCCTGTCTATTGATAATATATCCTCAGATAGAGGCAAGTTGGGGAGTGTTCCCTTCACCCCGTACTTCTCTGTGGTGAAAGAGGCAGGAAAAGTAAGCCCTTTGCAGTCGACATATTCACATTTATGGAAAGAAAGTGCCAAATTATCCCTTGAAATGTTCTAAGACCTGAGTTGACCCCAAATTGTACTGTGAGAGGAAACAGATGGAGGAATAAAAGATGTCCTTTTGAGAACGAAATCCTTTCTTATATCAAGAGCCTTCTACAGAGAACTGTTCCCCCATTCCCAAGAACCAGGGAGTCCAAGAAAGCCCCACCCCGCTGATTGGTCTAAGGATTTTGGTGTAGGAACAGATATACTGCTTGATCACTGCATCGTAATTGGTTTTGAAAACACATTTGCAAAATGGCAGTGAGCCAAACACTCCCTTCCTCTCAGTGCCTTCCATTTCGGAGGGCTTATGACTGATTTAAAGGATTTTTTTTTCCTCTGCGTCCTAGCCCCCCAACTTTTTGTGAAGAGGCAAAATATCTCAAGTTATTTGAACTGGGTCCTGGCTATGAACAACCTGCCCATGACGAGAAGAAAACAGAGCTCAGGTTTGCTGATTTTTATAGCAGGAGGGAACTGAACTACAATTTACTTGTCTTGCTCGGAGCCAGCTCAAATATAAAGCAGACTGGAACAGCCTCAGAGTTTCATTGTTGCGGGGCTGCATTCAAAGTTCAATAAAAATAGAGAAAAATATCTTTTGAAGGCCTAGAAAGCATATGGGGGCATGAAAGTATACACACGTGTGTTATTTTATGATCATGTTGAACGAGTGAGGTGGTAACTTCGGAGTTTTGCTGAGATCCTGAAGTCTTTTTTTTTTTTTTTTTTTTCCCCTGAGCATTTCCAATTCAGAAGCCAAGTTGCACATCTTCTCTCCATATGACAAGGGCAATCCGATGTGGGAGTGAGGCTTGCTTTCATTCTTGGTGGCTGAGACCTTTGCGTGGAAGTCTTCGTTGAATAACAACATGATGTTACATGGTTGTGATGGGCATGGGAGGGCTGTTTTATGGTAATGGCTTGTGTGTGCATGTGTGTGTGTGTATGTATGTGTGTGTAGACAAGGTGGAAAGCAACAGAATTCAGATTCTACAGGGTAGAAGTTTTGGCCTTTGTTTTAGCTTTTGTGTCACGAAGAGTTGCATGTGGCTATAAATATGAACATGATTGGCAAAATCTGCAGATGACGTAAAACCTCTGAAGGGTGTAGAATGCTTTATATACATCACATATTGGCAGTGTCTATTCATAGGATGCACATTGTAGAATTTGCTCTTTTTTTTTTTTTTTTTTTTAAAGCTTACTCATTCTATGTTGATGTGTACTTTTCTCCTCTTCTCTCCCCTTTCAGAAATCTTATTTCGAGTAGCCTAACTGGAGATTTGTAAGGAGGGTAACTCTCAAGATCACATCTGTTTAGATCAAAGGCAGGACTATTTCCTGATGTTGGCAAAGGGATTATGTAACAAGAAATCCTCATTGGTATCAGTGTGACACATGGGATGACATGGCACTTGGGAAAAATAAGGATATAAGTCAATATTCCCTCACCAGCTTCAATGTTGGAACTGTTTTTCCATACGATGCTTTTTATTCTTTGTCTTACTCCCTAAGTGGAACTGACAACTGAAAATTTTCTCTTGCTAATTTTTTATTTTGATTTTGCCACCAGGCTCCTCATTAGAAAACCTTGGCTGCAAAGTTGCCTCTTTGAAGCAGCAGGACTAGCCACATCTTCCTACACCACCCCACCCCAGTTCCCCTTTTCCAGCAAGGGATGGAAACAGATTAGCTTTGCCTCATAATTGGGCAAGTTCAAAATATTAAATATTTTCCACTCTTTATACTTTTCTGATTCAGGAGTGGCTGGAAATATTGGAAATCTACATCCCTTCAGATTTCGCAAAACTCCACTTGTCATAGGGATTCTTGGGACTTTGTCACAGGATGACATCTGGCCTGAAGAGGAAAGGCCAAACCACACTGGAGTGCTGTGGGGTGTCCTATTTTCAATGGATTCCTGTTCCTGACATATATCCCAGGATGGATTTTAGCTTTTTTTTTTTTGAGATGGAGTCTTGCTCTGTCGCCTAGGCTGGAATGCAGTGGCATGATCTCAGCTCACTGCAGCCTCCACCTCCCAGGTTCAAGCAATTCTCCTGCCTCACTGTCCCAAGTAGCTGGGATTACAGGTGCCCGCCACCACCACTGGCTAATGTTTGTACTTTTAGCAGAGGCGGGGTTTCACCATGTTAATCAGGCTGGTCTCGAACTCCTGACCTCAAATGATCCACCCACCTCAGCCTCCCAAAGTGCTGGGATTACAGGCATGAGTCACCATGCCTGGCCAGATTTTAGCATTTTAAAGACTGTACATTTTACTCAATCTTTGAAATCTCTGACCTGTCTTCTTCCCGGGGCCTGGAAGCAAGTTTGTGACTGAAAGAGGCATGTAGGTGAAGAGCCATTTCTAATGCCCTCCACGTCATTGCTTCACACTTCAATGTGCCTACGAGTCATCTAGGCATCTTGTTAACAGGCAGGTTCTGATCCCTTAGGTTTGGGGCGGTACCCAAGAATCTATTTATGTATTTATTTATTGAGACAGGGCTTTGCTCTGTGGCCCAGGCTGGAGTGCAGTGGCAGGATCATAGGTCTCTGCAACCTCTAACTCCTGAGCTCACGTGATCCTTCCACCTCAGCCTCCTGAGTAGGTGGGACTACAGGCATGTACCACCACAGCTGGCTAATTTTTAAACTTTTTGTTTGGACAGGGATCTCGTTATGTTACCGAGGCTGGTCTTGAACTCCTGGCCTCAAGCAATCCTCCCACCTCAGCCTCTCAAACCTCTGGTATTACATGTGTGAGCCACCACTCCCGGCCATGACTCTGTCTTTTTGTCAGTGCCAGATGATGCTTGTGAGCTGCACTTTTAGGCCTAAATGATCAGGTCTCACATTCTCACTGGCAGTGGGGGGGGAATGGGCCTGGGTGGGCATGGTGCAAAGATACTGAGAAATTTGCCCTGACTCTTCTCAGCCCCACTAATGTTCTGCTCATTGCAGGCCCTCTTTAAAAGTGCAGTTGACCTTGAACCACTAGGGCGTTGGGGTGCTGACTCTCTGTGTAGTGGAAAATCTGATCTCCCCTAAACTTAACTACTAATAGTCTACTATTGACCAGAAATTTTGTGGATAATAGGAACAATTGATCAACACATATTTTGTATGTTATATGTATCATATATGGTATTCTTACAATAAAGTTAGCTAGAGAAAAAATGTCATTAAGAAAATGATAGAGGCCGGGAACGGTGGCTCATGCCTTTAATCCCAGCACTCTGGGAGGCCAAGGCGGGTGGATTACCTGAGATCAGGAGTTTGAGACCAGCCTGACCAATATGGTGAAACTCTGTCTTTACTGAAAATACAAAAATTAGCCAGATATGGTGGTACATTCCTGTAATCCCAGCTACTCAGGAGGCTGAGGCAGGAGAATCGCTTGAACCCAGGAGGTAGAGGTTGTAGTGAGCCGAGATGGCGCCATTGCCTTCCAGCCTGTGTACCTGTCTCCTACCTCCACAATGTACTCCACAAGTGTACCTATTTGAGACTCCATTAAAAAAAAAAAAAAAGAAAATCATAGAGAAAATATGTTTACTATTCATTAAATGGAAGTGGATCATCATAAAGATCTTTACCCTCATTGTCTTCAGGTTGAGTTGGCTGAGGAGGAGGAGGGAGAGGAGGGATTGGTTTTGCTGTCTCAAGGGTGGCAGAGGCAGAAAAAAATCCATGAATAAGTGGACTCTGTAGCCCAAACCCATGTTGTTTGAGGATCAGCTGTATTTGGAATAAACTAAATAATGCTATGCTGTTTTACGAGCCAGCCTGTGGGAGACAGGGTGGAGACAGGTTACAGAAAAGAATGAGATCAAGCAGATACAGAGAAAGATAAAGATGGATGGGGCAGACAGTCTCTCCTGTAATTTCTGTCACTATCTCTTCCATCCTTTTCTCTGTTTCAATTTCATTTTTCTCCATCTTGTTTTCCTCACTGCTTTTCTGTCTGTTGTAAGATAACAGAATAATTCCACTAAAGTTCGGAGACACTGGGCACTTGGAAAGCAATATCTGAGCCCCAGCCCTGCTACTGAGTGTGACTGGACCAGTAACTTGCGGTCTCCAGGCCTCAGTGTCCTTTTCTGTAACATGAGCAAGTTTGGTTTGATGATTTCTAGACCTTTTCCAGCTCTTCAGGGCTATGACTCATAATCCATGTAAATATGTTTATCTGTTACTCGGGGCAAGTCTGTTCAATATGCAATGTAAATGAGTGAACTGTGATCTCGTCAGGGTTACTGGAGTACATAATTCCCAAGTCCACTGGGCATGTGAATGCATGCTGAGGATGCTCTTGGGTGAGCATCCTGCCTCCGCCCCGACCCCCAGTGCCATCGGAGCTCCCCTGTGTGAGGCTGTCTGAGAGAGCCACCCTCTGGATTTCTCAGAATTCAAAATCTGTTGTTCTTTAGGGGTTTCACAGCCCTTGTAAAAGATTATCATTATTATTATTCATATCATTTGACAGCAGATTCTTATCTAATATCCCCAGAGTCGGAAAACTCAGTTGAAAGGCTTCAAAACTTGGAACTGTGAAACTCATTTTGTAAATAATGTCATGCATTGTTATTTCTTGGGGAAGGGAACTGGAAGAAGACAAGTAGACCTGTTGGCTCAGGAGATGGGGTGTGATGGAGGAAAGTGTGGTTGGCCCATTACGTTTTTTCTTCTTCCCCTCCACCCCCCAATTGTTTGCTTTGCAAGTATGATAACCAACAAGCGACTGGATTTAAAAAAAGAAAAGAGCCGAAAATGAAAGAAAGAAGCCTCTGGGCACTGCAGAGGATAAAGCCTGTCCACGAGGGTGGACAAAAAGATCTATGACCACCAAGAACAGCATCAGCCAGCTCCTGCTCCTTGTTCTTCTGTCCTGTGTCTGTGGGGAAAATCAGGCTGGTTGGAGAGAAGTTGAAGTTATACTGGACCATTTGATAATGATGCAGAGAAACCCAGCAGCATCTATGGCAGGGAGGAGGGGTGTTTTGAGATTGCTTCCTGGGGATGGTGACTAACATTTGCAGAGTGCCTACATCTGTGTTGTCACAGATTCACAGGTCCATGGCCCACCCCACCCCGCCCCGAGGTCCCTTAGCTAGTAAGGGTGGAGCTAAGATAACAGCCCCGAATCCTAAGCTTCACTTCACTGGGCAGCCTCATAGTAGAGAACTGGTGAGAGACCAAGCAGCCCGAACCTGGAAGGCCTACAACGAGTTGCCTTCTGATGTACCACCAGCTGCCTAGTGAAGAGAAGACGGCGGCCACCCATGAATGACTCCAAGCCTTCCTGTGAGAATGGGTCGCAGAATCATCACTCGTCTTTGCTGGACTTTAGCCTTGACCCTTGTACCTAAAATTGCAGTCACGAGTGAGCAGTTGGCCAAACTAAACATGATGGTTGGGAAATCAGTTTCCCAGAATTGTTACTTCAGAGAAGTAGTAAATTGTGGAGGTAGGAGACAGGTACATTTGTGGAGGTAGAAGACAGGTACAATAAAAGTGAGGGGAGAAAACCTCCCTGGGAGGATGGGGGTGACATTGTCCAGTTATAGTTTTGTTGTGATTTTTCTCTTACTTTTCTAGGAGATAAGAGGATTTTCTGGAGCTCTCTTATGCTAGCTACCCTGGATGATAATGCTCAGATTATCTCCAAATCATCATTCAGATGGAGTCTATGTTGATTCACCTGATAACACCTTTTCTAATGGGATGACTTGGAAATCTATTGTCAAAGGCACTGTCCTGATTAATTTCCTTTTTTTTTTACAGTTTAATTTTTATTTTATGTTCGGGGGCACACGTAAAGGTTTGTTACATAGGTAAACACGTGTCATGGGGGTTTGTTGTACCTATTATTTCATCATCCAGGTATTAAGCCCAGTACCCAATAGTTACCTTCTCTGCTCCTCTCCCTCCTCCCACCTTCCCCCCTCCAGTAGGCCCCAGTGTCTGCTGTTCCCTTCTTTGTGTTCATAAGTTCTCATCATTTAGCTCCCACCTGATTCATTTTATTTCCTAGCATCTACTTAATAGAGTGTTGAGTTGATGTTTCTTTAATACCGATGCCCTAAATGTAAGCATGGATAGCAAGTCAGTCTGAGCAAAGGTACGATTCTCTCTGCCTCTGCCACCTTCCCCAAGTCTAAGCCTCCCTCATCTCTGGCTGTACATTGACAGTAGCCTCTTCACGGGGCTACCTGCTTCCACTCTTGCCCCATTCCAAAGAATTCTCCAGAATTCAGCCAGAGAGATTATGTTGAACTGCAAATGAGCATGTTGAACATGCCACCCTCTGTTATAAATTGCCATGACATCTCACGGCCATTTTGTTTTGTTTTCATTTTTTTTTAAATTTTTAACTTTTGTGAGTACCTAGTAGGTTTGTATATTTATGAGATACATGAGATATTTTGATACCGGCATACAATGTGTAATAGTTACATCAGGCTCATGGCTATTTTGATTTTTTGTTTTTTTCTTGAGACAGGGTTTTGCTCTGACGCCCAAGGTGGAGTGTAGTGGTGCAGTCCTAGCTCACTGAAGCCTGGGCTCAAGCAGTGCTCTTGCCCTAGCCTCCTAAAATGCTGATATTATAATACAAGTGTGAGCCACCATGCCTGGCCTCGAATTTTTAGTATAATAAATACCTATGAATCTATTGCCCACAAAAAATGGAACATTCACAACATTTATCTACCTGAGTGCTTCTCCCCAACCCCTAACACTGTCAACTCACAACTCTAAGCCTTGTACTTGACTATTTCTTTGCTTTATTGAAACATGGTTTTATTACAGTAGTATATTCCTAAAATATGTCTTGTTAAATTTTAGTTACCTTTAAATTTTTGAAAAGTTTGTCGTATTATGTGTTATCTACTGGGACCTGCTTTGTTTATTTCATAACGTGTTGCTAAGACTCACCCATGTTGTTGCATGTGGTTGTAGTGGATTTGCTTTCGCTGCTTTTTAATATTCCATTGTGTGAATACAACAGTTTTTATTTATCGATTCTCCTCTGGTCTTTTGGTTGCTTCCAGAGTTTTGCTAATGGCATAGTGCTGCTGAGAACATCTTGCACAACTTCCCACCATTCTTATCTGCATAGCTTGGATCCTACCTAACCCTCCACCTTTGCCTCATCATGCTTGTTCCCTTCCTTTTCTGTGCTTCACCCCATCCCAGTACAGTAAGGACTGGAAGAAAGTAAGAAGGATATGGTCAAGAAATTGAAATACTCCTTGTCTTCCCTCTTCCCTTCCTAGCTTCAACGTTTCCTACAAATTCCAGATCAATCATTAATCTACACTTTGGCATATCTTCCTTGATATCCCAGAACAGGAGGTCAATTCACCTATGTTGTGCTTTTATAGCTCTATGGACCTCCCGTCTGAACACTTGCCAAGGTTATTGTTTTTTGGTAGACTGCATTTGCATGGTGTGATGAACACCTGCTCTTCTACTGGACTTTCAGCTCTGAGAACAGGGACTGTCCCTCATTGTTCTCAGTTGTACCTCCAGGACCCAGCATGTTGCCTGCCTAGTTAGGAGCTTAATGTAGATTTTTAAATGAATAAAAGTAATCTAAAACAGTTAGGAGAGTAATTGAAAATGCCTAGAGGCCAGATGCAGTGGCTCACGTCTGTAATCCCAACACTTTGGGAGGCCAAGGCAGGTGGATCACCTGAGGTCAGGAGTTTGAGACCAGCCTGGCCAACATGGCAAAACCCCCTCTCAATTAAATACATAAAAATGAGCTGGGTGTTGTGGTGCACGCCTGTAATCCCAGCTACTCGGGAGGCTAAGGCAGGGAGAATTGCTTGAATCCGGGAGGTGAAGGTTGCAGTGAGCTGAGATCGCACCACTACACTCCAGCCTGGGTGACAGAGCAAGACTCCGTCTCAAAAAAAAAAAAAAAAAAAAAGAAAAAAGAAAAAAGAAAATGCATAGAGACCAAATAACAGGATCCAGTATGCTTCTTCCTCAAACTCTATAGTAGGAGTCATCAAACTTTTTCCTCTAAAGAATCAGTCAACATTTTAGACTTTATAGGCCACACAGTCTCTGAAAACTGTTCAACCTTGCTGTTATTTCATGAAAGCGGTCATAGATAATATGTAAACAAATGAGCATGGCCATGTTTCAATACACCTTTCTTTATGGATGTTGAAACTTGAATTTCCCGTAATTTTAATTTTCATGTGTGATGAAATGTGAGTCGTGTGTTATGACATATGGCTTTTTTGATTTTTTTTAACCATTTAAAAATGTGAAAGCCAGGCTTTGCTCATGGGGTGCACAGAAGCAGATGGTGGGCTGGAATGGAGCGGTGGGCCATAGTTGGCAAACCCTCTTCTAGAGGGGCTCTGTATCCCTGCCAGTCCAGTGACCTTGGATGTCAGACAGCCCTTAATCACTATTTGTGAGCAGGCAGCCAGAGAGGATGGAGAGTGAGAAAAGGTTCATTTAGTGCTTTATTTAAAAAATTAAAAGACACCATTAAAAAAAAAAACCTTTTCTTTAAAAGTTGCAAAAATCTTCTATTGCTTTCACCTTCGATATTGAAAACTCAGCCACTTAAAAGTGCATCTTATGACAACCATGTCATCCCCTCCAATTGCATAATAAAGAAGCTGCACACCTACTCGCTGGCTGCTCTTCTCCTGGCTGATTCACCCAGCAGGAGTGAGCAACTGACTGGCTGCTGCAGTTCACCAGCACTTTCACATACTGAGGTCTTGGCTGGGCTGACATCACCTGGTCGGTCTACCTTTGGATGAATGCAGGCGTGGGTTCGCCAGCACTACCAATAAACTAGGAAAACAAAACAAAACAAAACAAACAAAGGCTCCTGCTTTGCAATATTTGTTAATATCAAGCCATGTTGACATACTTTTTAATCTGTCAGCAGACAAACCCTGGAAGGTAGCCCACACTGTCAGCGTGTTAACTTGTTCTTGTTCACTGAGATGGAAATATTAATTGATTGGAAGGGATGTGTATTGGTACAGCTCTGAAAAGGAAGTGGCAGTGTGTGGCCCTGGTGTATGCCATTGTCAGCTGGAGAGAGGGATGGAGCAAGAGTGAGGTAACGAGGCCATTGCCCTCTCATGTAAATGCTCGGCCTGAGTTGCCCAACATGGCAGAGGCAGATTCTTGTCTTGACTTACAGTGTGGATATTGTTAGCACTATATACCCCTGCAGTTGGAAGGGCACTTGGAAGATCTCCTAATTCTGTCCTCTGCACTCAGAAACTTGTCTAGGTCATCTTCTGGTCTCTACTTGAAGGCTGCCTGCCTTCAGGTCCCACAGTTTGTACTTGGGTGGGCTGTCCCCAGACAGCTTTCCCTAGCAGAGCATTGGATGTGTTAGCCTACTTCTTAGTTCAGTTCTTTGAGAGGCCCCACCTGCCTAAGTGCTGAACATACCTGACCACAGTTACCAGGACACCTTCTTCCAAGCCACCAGCATCTCCTGCCTGAATTTTTGCATTCACTGGTATCCCTGCTTCTGGTCTTGCCGCCAATAATCCATTCTCCACACGGCAACCTGAGCGACCTTTTAAAAACAGAAATCAGATCATGTCACTCACCTCCTTAAAATTCTCCAAGAGATTACATTTAGAATAAAATCCAAATCCCATATCCTGTATTATGGGTTGAACTGTGTCTCGCCCAAAAGATGCTGAAGTCCCAAGTACCTGTGAATGTAACCTTATTTGGAAATAGGTTCTTTGCAGATGATTAAGGTAAGATGGGGTTGGTAGGTGGGCCCTAAACCAATATGACTGATGCCCTTATGAAAAAGGCAATTTAGACCCAGAGACAGACATGTACAGAGGGAAGACAATGTGAAGGCACAGGGAGCACAGTGTCTACAAAGCAAAATGCTTGAGCCCACGAGAAGTTAGAAGAAAGGCATGGGACAGATCCTCCCTTGCAGACCTCAGAAGGAACTAGAAATGCTGACACCTTGATTTTAGACTTCCAGTCTGCAGAATGGTGAGTTAATAAAGTTGTGTTATCTCAGCCACCCAATTTGTGGTACTTCATTACAGTAGTCCTAGGAAAATAATACAACTGCCTACAAAGGCTGGTGTGATGCAGGCCCACCTTCCTCTTTGTCCCCCTTAAACTGTGCTCATTCCTGCCTGCTGTGCTTCTTGACTAGGGCAGCACTACAGCTGCCCAAATGCCACTGGAAAAAGTGTGTGTGTCTAGTTTTCAGTAGTTAGGACTAGGGGCTTGACCAGCATTTAGTGGGAGGGAGGCCAGGGATGCTACAAATCCCCAAGTGCATGGAACAGTCACACATCATATTGTCACTGAAGCCCCATTGAGAATTACTGCACACTGGCCTTCACTCAGCTCTGTGAACCTTCCCTTTCACCCTACCCCAGGGCCTTTGCACGAGCTATTCATCTACCTGGACTGCTGTTCACTTACTCTTCACATGGTTTAGATAGCCTGACAAACATGATCTTCTCAGAGAGGCTTTCTCAGACTGTAAAGTACTCACTTGTTCACTTTCTTTCACATTAGTGTTTTGTTTTGTTTTTAAATACTCCTGCATAGAGAGCACTATCACTATTTGATGTTTTTAAATCGATTCTTCTTTTGTTTTGT